>NC_000012.12:114581340-114732855 GCF_000001405.40 Homo sapiens | reverse complement strand
GTGACCCCGGAAGTGACCCCATGCTTGGGTAGACAGCAGCCTCAGGCTTTGAAAACGACCTGGATTTCTGGACTGCTGGCAAGGAAATGAGAGGGCTGGGGGTAGGGGCAGGGTCTCTGCCTCCCAGGTCTCCTGGTCCAGTCCCGGAAAGCCCTAATTCTGCAGGTCTCCCTGGCCTGGAGACAATTAACCATCCATTTCAGAGAGACCTCTGTCTGTCTGTGTCTGTGTGTGGCCCTCTCAGCCAACCAGGATGAGGGAGGGATCCCCCACCGACCCCCACCAACCTAGGACTGCCCATGTGAGGACACTGCCCATTGGCCTGTTGCTGTGCTTTGGGCAATGGGTGGGGAAACAGGAGAGGGAAGAAGTCATCATCTCCCCATCCTCCTCTCCCAGAGGCCAGTTCTGTATGCTGCAGAAGAGGTTGATCCTGCCTTAACCTGCACCTCTCCCTAGAACCCAGTCAGGCCCCATCCATGAGGCCTCTGGCTCTGCCCCTCTCTGGTCCAACCAACTAGGAGCCCGTGGCTAGATGCACTTAAGCCTGGAATGAAGCTGCTGTCATCAGACTCGAAGAATCCATTAAACATCAGATCCTGCATCCTGCCTTCTTCCTCCATGGGTTACCAGCAGCAACTCAGTACCAATCCCATTCATTCTGTACCTCTCTCCCCTGGCAGATACTTTCCCCTGTTCATTTCAGTTTAAAATTAAACAAATTTTAAAAGTTGAGATAATGATGGGAGGTAAGGTGAACAGGATAAAAATGTTGGGAAGCCGGGCACGGTGGCTCACGCCTGTAATCCCAGCACTTTGGGAGTCCGAGGTGGGTGGATCACGAGGTCAGGAGTTCAAGACCATCCTGGCTAACACAGTGAGACCCCATCTCTACTAAAAATACAAAAAAGTAGCTGGGTGTGGTGGTGGGCGCCTGTAATCCCAGCTACTCAGGAGGTTGAGGCAGAGAATTGCTTGAACCTGGGAGGCGGAGGTTGCAGTGAACCGAGATCACGCCACTGCACTCCAGCCTAGGTGACAGAGCGAGACTCCATCTCAAAAAAAAAAAAAAAAAGTTGGGAAAAGCCCAGTGATCTGAATCTGGATATAAATCCTGGTTCTGCCACTTAACTTCCTGGGACCTTGGACTTACCATGTAGGCTTTCTGAGCTTAGTCAATATATCTATCTGTAAGAGATGACTGTCGGGGCCAACCCTATGCTCAGCCACATCGGATTCCCTTTCTCTCTGCTTAAAGGGGTGTGTGTTTGGTTTCTCTCTCTCTCTCTTTTTCCTATACCCCATCTCAAAAGAGAGAAGTGTAGCACAGTGCTTTCATGAGAGGGCACTGCAGACAGACTGCCTTGGTTCGAATCTGATTCTGCCACTTACTAGCCAAGCCACTTTGGATGGGTGACTTCTCTCTTTTTCCTCTTCTTTTTTTAAAATTATTATTATTATTATTATTATTATTATTATTATTATTATTATTTTGAGACAGAGTCTCACTCTGCCACCCAGGCTGGAATGCAATGGCATGATCTCGGCTCAATGCAACCTCCACCTCCCGGGTTCAAGCGACTCTCCTGCCTCAGCCTGCTGAGTAGCTGGGACCACAGGCGTGTGCCACCACGCCCAGCTAATTTTTGTATTTTTAGTGGAGACAGGGTTTCACCATGTTGCCCAAGCTGGTCTCAAACTCCTGACCTCAGGTGATCCACCTGCCTCAGCCTCCCAAAGTGCTGGGATTACAGATGTGAGCCACTGTGCCCAGCTCTTGATGACTTTTTGAACCATCAAATTAACTAGCTTTCCTTACTTCTGGAGTTCTAGTTATGAAAAAAACAATCTTTTTTTTTTTTTTGGCTGAAGATGGAGTGCAATAGCACAATCTTGGCTCACTGCAACCTCTGCCTCCCAGCTTCAAGTGATTCTCCCACCTCAGCTTCCCAAGTAGCAGGGATGACAGGCTCATGCCACCACAGCCGGCTAAATTTGCTTTTCTTCTTTGAGACAGGGTCTCACTCTGTTGCCCAGGGTGGAGTGCAGTGGCACAATCTCAGCTCACTGCAACCTCCATCTCCCGGGTTCAATCAATTCTCCTGCCTCAGCCTCCTGAGTAGCTGGGACTATAGGCACGCGCCACCACACCCGGCTAATTTTTGTATTTTTAGTAGAGACGGAGTTTTGCTATGCTGGCCAGGCTGGTCTTGAACTCCTCGCCTCAAGTGATCCACCTGCCTCGGCCTCCCAAAGTGCTGGGATTACAGGTGTGAGCCACTGCTCCTGGCCTAATTTTTGTATTTTTAGTAGAGACGGAGTTTCACTATGTTGGCCAGGCCGGTCTCAAACTCCTGACCTCAACTGATCTACCTGCCTCAGCCTCCCAAAGTGCTGGGATTACAACAAAAAGTCTTTATTATTTAAGGCCAGAGTTGGGATTTTCCCTGCAGAAAAAAAAGGAAAAAGAAAAAAAAATATATATATATATAAAATACACACATGCATATAACTGTGTATACACACACACACACACACACACACACACACACACATATAACCAATAGACCTTTTTTACTGAGTGACCTTGTTTCGGAACCCATGGTGTGGCCTCTTCAATAAGCATCCTCTGGCAGGGTTGGGGAGTGGGGCACTTTTCTCCAGACGTGCTCTTGCTCTCTGTCTCCACTGAATTCTCTGGTCAGATTTTAGGCCTGCATTCTGCTCTAGCAAGTGATGCTGCCTGACTCTAAGGCCAGGTCGAAAAAGACCATTCAGCTTCCACTTGGTTCTCCCAGAACACATGTTCTCTTGTGTTCAATCTCAAGAACGTCTTAGAATTTGGTCACCATGACTTGAAGAATCCCAAGATGCAAGAAGAGGCCATGTGGAGGTCCTCCAATCAACTGTCCCAGCTGAGGCCTGCCTTTGAGTCATCCAGCCTCAGTTCCAGACATATGAGTAAAAGAGGCTTCAGATGGCTCAGGCTCTGAGCTATTCAAAACACGCCCAGTCATTCAAGTCTTCCCACCTGAGGCCCAGACATCACAGAGTAGAAACAAGCTATTCCCACTGTTTCATTCCTAAATGCCTGACCCACAGAATCTGTGAACATAATAAAACAGTTGTTCCTAGGCCACTAAGTTTGGGGTGGTTTGTTACAGAGCAGTAGATACCTGGTACAATGACATGCATCAGTCTGAGCCTCAATTTTCCCATCTGCAAAATGTGGATATGAGGGTCTTCCAGAGGAGATCTGGGAAGTGAGTGTGCCCATATAAACAGCAGATGACCGGAGCCTAAGGCCCACCGGATTCAAGAGATTATAATACAATGTGCCACTCAAATAAAGTGAGGAGCACATACTAGGCACCCCGAGATTCTCAACACCCAAATTCTCTCCTCCCTCCAGCCACTCCCAGAGAAACTCAGACCAGCTCTTCATCCAGATCTTACGTCCAAAAGGAATCCCCACACCACACACCCTGCCACCACCAACTTTCCTTTCCATTCCAATCAGAGAATTAATTTCCAGAAAGCAAGACTGCCAACAGCAGAAATAAATCACAACAGAGCAGGAGATGAACATTATCTAAAGTGAAACAATTTAGCAAAAATCTCTCCCCCTCCCTCACCCCGCTCCAAACCAATAACAATTCAATTATTTGGCCGTCACTATAAATGATGGAGCAGCCACGTGGCATCCCTGGCGTGGGAAGGGGAAAGCTATGGAAAAGGAGATGAAAACCAGCCAGGGGAACACACTGATTAGACAAACAGGAGGCAAAGCAGGGAGGTGCCCAGCCCTGGGATCAGGGAAAGGAAGAACAGCCAGCACCCTCACGTTCACTGGCCTAACACTTTGTTAGACATGATGCTATTACATCCATTACTGTGCTTGACCTTCTGAGAAGGCCTGAGATGTTGGCTGAGATAATGTAATCCATCCCTATTCAAAAGACACAGGAAGTCGTGTTCAGAAAAACATTTTTAAAATTTTATTTGAGACGGAGTCTCACTCTGTCTCCCAGGCCAGAGTGCAGTGGCACAATCTCAGCTCACTGCAACCTCCACCTCCCAGATTCAAGTGATTCTCCTGCCTCAGCCTCCCAAGTAGCTGGGATTACAGGCATGCACCACCATGCCAGGCTAATTTTGTATTTTTAGTACAGGTGGGGTTTCACCATGTTGGCCAGGCTGGTCTCGAACTCATCACCTCAAGTGATCCGTCCACCCCAGCCTCCCAAAGTACTGGGATTTCAGATGTGAGCCACCATGCCTGGTCCAGAAAAACTTTTAGGTGTAATAAAAGGAGCTCTCAACTTGGAGTGGGAAGTTGATGTGTTCATTTAACCCACGACTGTTTTGTCTTTCATTTGGTTTTGGGTTGGAGTTTTGTTTTTTGTTTTTGTTTTTAATTGAGACAGGGTCTTGCTGTGTCATCCAGTCTGGAGGGGCAGTGGTATGATTACAACTCACCTCAGCCTCGACCTCCTGGGCTCCAGTGATCCTCCCACCTCAGCCTCCCGAGTAGCTGGGACTACAGGTGTGCACCACCATGCTCAGCTAATTTTTAAATTTTAAGTAGAGGTGAGGTCTCTCTATGTTGCCCAGGCTAGTCTCAAACTCCTGGGCTCAAGCAATTCTCCCACCTCAGTCTCCAGAAGTGCTGGGATCACAGATATGAGCCACCATGCCCAGTCCCATGACTATTTTGAAAATCCACAAAAATGCCCATGCCTAAATACCCTGACTTGATCATTACATGTTGTATGGATGTATCAAAATATCACATGTGCCCCATAAATATTTGTACACATTTGTACAAATATATACAAATATTATGTATCGATTAAAATGTTTAAATAAAGATAAATACTTTTTAAACACTAATGGAGCTTACATTTTACTATAAAGAGAAATATAATCAAGCACAAGCATCATAAGTAAGGGAATTCCATGGCTTGTTAAAAGGCAAGATGTAGCCGGGCGCAGTGGCCCACGCCTGTAATCCCAGCACTTTGGGAGGCCGAGGCAGGTGGATCACTTGAGGCCAAGAGTTTGAGACCAGCCTGGCCAACATGGTGAAACCCCGCCTCCCCTAAAAATACAAAAATTAGCCAGGCATGGTGGTGCAAGCTTGTAATCCCAGCTACTCAGGAGGCTGAGGCACAAGAATCTCTTGAACCCAGGAGGCAGAGGTTGAAGTGAGCTGAGATCATGCCACTGCACTCCACCTGGGCAGCAGAGTGAGACTCTGCCCCGCCACAAAAAATAAAAATCAACTAAAATAAAAGGCAAGATGCACTATCAAAATAGAATGAACAAGAGCAAGGTAGTTTGGAGGGGGAAGGAGAGGTTTGCAATCTTGGATGGGATGGACAGCAGAGGCCTTAATGAGAAGGATCATGTGAGCAGACTTGAAAAACATGGAGGGGCCAGGTGCAGTGGCTCATGCCTGTAATCCCAGCACTTTGGGAGGACGAGACAGGCAGATCGCCTAAGGTCAGGAGTTCGAGACCAGCCTGGCCAATATGGCAAAACCCTGTCTCTACTAAAAATACAAAAATTAGCCGGGCATGATGGTGGGCACCTATATTCCCAGCTGCTCGGGGGGCTGAGACAGGAGAATCACTTGTACCCGGAAGGCGGAGGCTGCAGTGAGCTGAGATCGCGCCACTGCATTCCAGCCTGGGTGGCAGAGCAAGACTCTGTCTCAAAAAAAAAAAAAAAAAAAAAAAAAAAAAAGAAAGAAAGACATGGAGGAGGCTGGGCACAGTGCTTCATGCCTGTAATCCCAGCACTTTGAGAGACCCAGGAGAGAGGATTGCTTGCGCCCCAGAGTTCAAGACCAGCCTGGGAAACATGACAAGACCGTTTCTCTACAAAAAATTTAAAAATTAGCTGAACATGGTGGTGTGCACCTGTAGTCCCAGGTACTTGGGAAGCTGGGGTGGGGGGACCACTTGAGCCTGGCTGGTCGAGGCTGCAGTGAGCCGTGATTGTGCCACTGCATTCCAGCCTGGGCAACAGAGCAAGACCACATCTCAAAAAAAAAAAAAAATTACAAAAAAGAAAGAAAAAGAAAAAGAAATGATATAGCAGAGAGGAAGGAACTAGT
This sequence comes from Homo sapiens, assembly GCF_000001405.40. Lineage (NCBI taxonomy): Eukaryota > Metazoa > Chordata > Mammalia > Primates > Hominidae > Homo > Homo sapiens. The sequence continues at coordinate 114,726,734 of NC_000012.12, read as the reverse complement.
CCCACATCAAAGAAATCTTTAAGCAAAAGAAATGATCAGAAGCCCAATTCTACCACTTACTAGCTAAGCGACCTTGAGCAAGCTCATCTCTGATCCTCAGCCTCCTCATCTGTAACAGGGGTGTCCCGTTCCCTAGAGTTGTTTGCAAAGATTGTGAGATGATATATGTCAGTGCCTCCCAGGGTACCCAGCTTATAGTAAGTTCTCTGGTCTCAATTTTTATAGTCAGTGCTCTGCAAATTTGCAGAGCATTTTCCTTCTCATCCTGCAGAAACAAGTTCTATCAAGTATCCCCCAACCATAAAATTAGTATTCCAGTCCTAGGAATTAACAGACTACAGGACAATCCACAAGGCCAACCATCTCCACCACACCGGGTGCCTTCTAAGTGCCCGGCACCCTGCCAGCCTCTTTCCAGGCGCTTATCTCAGTCACCCTCCCCGTCATGCTGAGGCCAGTAATTACTATCACCATGCCAGCCTCAAAGCCTGTGCTCTCAAATTCCCATGATGTCACGTCACTAAGCAGGTCTCAGCTGTCACTTCCAGTCCCCTAGAATAGGCCACAGATATGTAGGTTGCCCAAGGGATGGAAAGAACTGGAGGAAATTCTGGCCTAAGGTACAGAATTCTGTCCCTTGAGTGGACACTGGGAAGAGAGAATTCTGTCACTATCCCCAGAGACCTGTCTGAGCTGGAGTGCCATTGTGTCCTCACTCTGAGGTCACTATCTGAACTCAGTGGTCTTGAAAAAGGTGGTATAGCACAAAGCTTAAAAGCCACTAGCTTTTAACATCTAGCCAGGTACAGCAGAATATACCTATATTCCCAGCTACTCAGGAGGCTGAGGCGGGAGGATTCCTTGAGCCCAGGAGGTTAAGGCTGCAGTAAGCTATGATCTTGCCACTGTACTTGAGCCTGAGTGACAGCAGAGATCTTGTCTTTAAAAAATAAATTAAAAATAAATACATACATACATGCATACATACCCCTTTGTCCTGGGTTCAACATCCAGCCTTACCACTTACAAGCAAATATGACTCAAGGGAAGTTATGTAATCTCTCAGTGCCTCATTTTCTTCATCTGTAAAATGGAGATAATGAGGAGTTGAGTCCACCCTCTGTCTCCCCCTTGGCAAGACCCCATTGCAATGGTCCCTATAAAAAATAAAATAAAATAGGCCAGGTGCGGAGATTCATACCTGTAATCCCAGCACTTTGGGAGGCCGAGGCAGGAGTATCACTTGAGCTCAGGAGTTTGAGACCAGCCTGGGCAACATGGTCAAATGCCCTCTCTATAAAAATTACAAAATTTATCTGGGTGTGGTAGTGCACACCTGTTGTCACAGCTATTCAAGAGGCTAAGGTAGGAGAATCACTTGGGTCCAGGTGGTCAATGCTTCAATAAGCCAAGTTCGTTCCACTGCACTCCAGCCTAGGCAACAAAGAGAGACCCTGTCTGGAAAGTAAAAATAAAGTAAGTAAATAAGTAAGTAAATAAATACATACATACAATAAAATTTAAAATGGGAATAATAATGTCACCTCCTTTCTAGGGTTTTAGATGATGCTTTGCAAATAAGCTTGCCAGGCACGGTGGCTCACACCTGTAATCCCAGCACTTTGGAAGGCCAAGGTCGGTGGATCACGAGGTCAAGAGATCGAGACCATCCTGGCCAACATGGTGAAAACCCATCTCTACTGAAAATACAAAAATTAGCCAGGTGTGGTGGCACACCCCTGTAATCCCAGCTACTCAGGAGGCTGAGGCAGGAGAATTGCTTGAACCTGGGAGACGGAGGTTTCAGTGAGCTGAGATCACTCCACTGTACTCCAGCCAGGGTGACAGAGCAAGAGACTCCATCTGAAAAAAATAACAATAATAATAATAATAATTCCAAAGGCATTTGCTATGGGCTGAATTACGTCCCCCCAAAATTCATAATTTAAAGCCCAAATTCCTGGTCCTTCAAAATGTGGCTGTATTTGGAGACAGAACATTGAAAAAGATAATTAAGTAAATCAGGCCTTTAGGATAGACCATATTCCAACATAACCAGTGTCCTTAGAAGAAGAGAAGATAAGGGCTGGGCGCGGTGGCTTGCGCCTGTAATCCCAGCATTTTGGGAGGCCGAGGCAGGAGGATCACTTGAGACCAGGAGTTTGAGACCAGCCTGGCCAACATGGTGAAACCTCATCTCTACTAAAAAATAAAAAATAAATTAACTGGGCAGGGTGGCATGTGCCTGTATTCCTAGCTACTTGGGAGGTTGAGGCAGGAAAATCGCTTGAACTGGAGAGGTGGAGGTTGCAGTAGGCCGAGACTGTGCCACTGCACTGCAGCCTGGGTGACAGAGTGAGACTGTTTCCAAAAAAAAAAAAAAAAGAAGAAGAAGAAGAGAAGAGAAGATTAGGATGCATGGAGAGACACCCGGGGCACAGGGGCACACTTGGACAGAAGAATGACCATGCAGAGAGGCAGCAAGAGGGCAGTTGAGGAGAGAGGCCACGCCAGAAAACAACTCTGCAGGCACCTTGTTCTTAGACTTCTAGCCTCCAGAACTGTGAGAGAATACATTTCTGTTGTTTAAGCCACCCAGTCTGTGGTATATTCTTATGGCAGCCCTAGCTAATAAATACAATGTTCTGTTGTTGTTTTTGTGTTTGTGTGTATGTGCGTTGTTGTTTTCTTTTAAATTTTTATTTATTTTTGAGACAAGGTCTGGCTCTGTCACCCAGGCTGGAGTGCAGTGGTGTGATTATGGCTCACTGTAGCCTTGACCTCCCAGGCTCAAGTGATCCTCCTGCCTCAGCCTCCCAAGCAGCTTGGACTATAGACATGCGCCACCACGCCTGGCTATGTTTTTGATGTTTTGTAGAGAGAAGGTCTCACTACGTTGCCTAGGCTGGTCTTGAACTCCTAGCCTTAAGCGATCCTCCCACTTCGGCCCCCCTAAAGTGCTCAGATTATAGGCATGAGCCACCACGCCCAGCCTGTTTTGTTTTTAAGGTAAATTATTGTAGGCTAGTTGTGATGGCTGCTCACACCTGTAATCTCAGCACTTTGGAAGGCCAAGGCGGGAGGATGGCTTGAGGCTAGGAGTTAGAGACCAGCCTGTGCAACAAAATAAAAACAAACAATTCTAAAAGAAGACGACACAGCCGGGCGCGGTGGCTCACGCCTGTAATACCAGCCCTTTGGGAGGCCAAGGCGGGTGGATTGCCTGAGCTCAGGAATTTAAGACCAGCCTGGGCAACATGGCGAAACCCCGTCTCTACTAAAATACAAAAAACTAGCCGGGCATGGCGGCGTGCTCCTGTAGTCCCAGCTACTCGGGGAGCTGAGGAAGGAGAATTGCTTGAACCAGGGAGGCAGAGGTTGCAGTGAGCCAAGATCGTGCCACTGCACTCCAGCCTGGGTGACAAAGTGAGACTTCATCTCCAAAATAAATAAATAAATAAATAAAATAAAAGAAGACTACAGGTCCAAAGAGAAATTCAAAGAACCACATCTTCTCCACTACACTCTCAGGCGGACTCAACTCAAGTACCAACTCCAGACTGCTCCAGTTCTTTGTGGTTGTTCTTGCCCTCCGGTTTCTCCACCACTCAAAGCAGTGATATCTAAAGAGCAGAATGGGTCAGGTGCAGTGGCTCACACCTATAATCCCAGTGCTTTGAGAGGCCAAGGAGGGAGAATTGCTTGAGGCCAGGAGTTCAAGACCAGCCTGGGCAACATAGCAAGACCCCCATCTCTACAAAAAATAAAAAATTAGCCAGGCATGGTGGTGCACACCTATATTCCAAGCTACTCGGGAAGCTGAGGTGGGAGGCTTGTTTGAGCCCAAGAGTTCAAGGCTGCAACGAGCTGTGATTGTACCACTGCTGTAGCTTGGGTGACAAGAGCAAGACCCCATAGTATAAAAATAAAAATAAAGAGCAGAGTCCCAACCAATCTCTCTTGTCTTTGTACTCCTTGTATCTTAGCCCTTCCATTTCCTAGGAGGATAGGCTTGGCCAAGTTAAAATCTCTAAGCCTGGGCCCCCTGTGGTGGCTCATGCCTGTAAATGCAGCACTTTGGGACACTAAGGCAGAAGGATCACTTGAGGTCAGGAATTCGAGACCAGCCTGGCCAACATGGCAAAATCCCGTCTCTACTAAAAATACAAAAAATTAGCCAGGTGTGGTGGTGCATACCTGTAGTCCCAGCTGCTTGGGAGGCTGAGGCAGGAGAATCACTTGAACTCAGGAGGCGGAGTTTGCAGTGACAGAGATTGCACCACTGTACTCCAGCCTGAGCATCAGAGTGAGACCCTGTGAAAGGAGAAAGAGAGAGTGAGAGAGAGAGAAAGAAAGAGAGAGAGAGAGAGAGAGAGGGAGGGAAGGAAGGAAGGAAGGAAGGAAATTCCCAGTGCTAATGCAACCATTAGCAACCAAATACACCAAGGGCCTATCATAGCACATGGCACATAGAAAGTATCTAACCAATTAGGCCGGGTGCAGTGGCTCACGCGTGTAATCCCAGCACTTTGGGAGGCCGAGGCAGGCAGATCATTTGAGGTCAGGAGTTCGAGACCAGCCTGGCCAACATGGCAAAACCTCGTCTCTACTAAAAATACAAAAATTAGCTGGGTGTGGTGGTGCGCGCCTGTAGTCCCAGCTACTTGGGAGGCTGAGGCAGAAGAATCACTTGAACCCAGGAGGCAGAGGTTGCAGTGAGCCAAGACCACACCATTGCACTCCAGCCTGGGCGACAGAGTGAGACCCTGTCTCAAAAAAAAAAAAAAAAGAAAGGAACGAAGGAAGGGAGAAATTATGAATTCTATTATTTTTTCTTGTGCTTTCTCTGATACACAGGGTCCATACTCCATGACTGAAGGAGACGAAGGAAGAAGAGGATGAGATAAAAGAGGAAGAAAATAACTATCAAATACTGTGCACTTAATTGGTGTCTGGCACTGTCTGAGTGCCATATACATGGACATTCCTTTTTTTTTTTTTTTTTGACTTAGTGCCTGACATCAAATACTTGGCCATGCTTAATTCTCATCATAACCTTCCATTTTACAGACAAGAAAACCGAGACCTAGAGAGGTTACGTTACATCCTCAAGGTCACACAGCTGATAATAAAAGCAACTGATTAAGCTAATAAACACATCCTTTAAAATAAGGCTCCCGCTAAAAAAGGGCTGGAGGGTGGCTGGGAGACACACGCTCCAAATTCTTCTCCAAGTGTGACAGGGACTCACTTGAGCCTATGGAGTGCTGACAGGTGGAGAGGGTGTTTGTGCAGGGCTTGGGGACCACGCCACGGTTCCAGGAAAACCCCCATGCACCTACTGAAATACATCCAAGAGTCCTCTTTCTTTGAGTAAAACACTCCCAAGGTCACTGAGTGTGTTCCCAATCAGAGGGTCAAAAAGGACGAGGGGACAGGCCAGCTCTGTCTGAGATGCTTATCCCCCACCCCACCCCAACACACGGATCCATGCTCCACCAGGGCTGGGGCGCCACCCCGCACCCCTGCAGATGCATCCCTAGCCCCATGGCCTCTGTTTCTGATTGGGCCCTGTTTATGGGAGGCATGGGCAGGAGATAGGAGTAAGTTCCAGTTGGGGTGTCTCTTCCCTGTCCTCTCCCTGGAAGTGGCTGTGAGGCTCCATGACCACAGCTCATGCGGGACAGCCCCGTCCCCCACAGTTCCAGCCCTTGCTGGGCTCCATACACCCCAGTTCCGGCCCCTGCTTCCTCTATTGCTGGCCCCAGAGTGCTTAAGCATCCCTTGTTGGTTTCTTCAGCCATGTCCACCTTTCTATAAATAGTCCTGTATTAAATACTTCCTGATTGAACAGAATTGAATGAATTCTGTTTTTCCCAGGACTCTGATCACGATAAAGTTAGTGCGAAATTGGAAAAAAAAGATCCTAGTTTCTAATTGTCTCTCCAAAACCCAGTTTCAGACAAAGGTAAAGTAGAAGTCTAAAGATCTTAGATGACCTTCTGAATCTAAAATAAAAGTTGAATTTTTAAAATATTATTATTATTATTATTATTTTTGAAACAGAGTCTCCCTCTGTTGCCCAGGCTGGAGTGCAGTGGCATGATCTCGGCTCACTGCAACCTCCACCTCCCAGGTTCAAGTGATTCTCCTGCCTCAGTCTCCCAAGTAGCTGGGACTACAGGTGTACCACCATGCTTGGCTAATTTTTGCATTTTTAGTAGAGATGGAGTTTCTCCGTGTTGGTCAGGCTGGTCTCAAACTCCTGATCTCAAGTGATCTTCCCATCTCGACCTCCCAAAGTGCTGAGATTACAAGCGTAAGCCACTGTGCCCAGCCGAAATTATTTATTATTTTTTAAAATCTTAAATGGCCTCAGATATCAGCTCTGTCCAGCTCTCTTCATACGAGTTCAGACCACTGGGAAGAATGAACTAAGTCTGGTGACTATATCCAGACAGACCTCAGTTCAAATCCTGATTCTGACAAGGTTGTGAAATTTTGGACATGCCACCTACATTTCCTGAGCCTCAGTTTGCTCATAGAATGCACATTTTTATAGGATTGTTGAGTGGAGGCCACAGTGAATGGAAAGCGAATCACTCAGCACCTAGCCCCATAGTAGGTGCTCAGTAAATTATTGTTCTCCTCATCTTTCTTCCCCTTCCCTTCTCTAACTTCCCCCTTCCTTTACCTCAATTCCTGTCCTTAACCCAATAACGAAAGAAGTGAGAAAAAAAAAATCAACACATCAGGATTGCTTCATGGTTCACAAAGAACTTTCACAGCTGTTACTTCATTCCTTGAAGCAAATTGAAACTCTTACAGGTGAAAGGCCATAGCTTCTAAGTGTCTCCAGCCAACCAGATCAGGAGCAGAAGACAACCTTTAGAACAAAAAGTGAGAAAAATCAGGGTTTCTTGAAACCTTAATTATCCATCAGTTATTACTTGCTCTGAAACAAACCACTCAACTGTAATGGCTTCAAGCAACCACGATGTATCATTTCTGATGGGTGGGCTTGTGCTGGACAGTTTTTGGAGTGAGGACCCCTAAGATAGCCTCCCTATATGTCAGAGCTTTGTAGGTTAAATGCTGGAAACTGGGTCTTGATATGAGCTCTCATCACTCAAGGATCTAGTTGAAGCTTCCTTCCATGGTACCAGGAGGAGATCAGGAGATGTCACAAAGCATCATTATCCCCATATCCTGGTTTTTTTTTTTTGTTTTTTTGTTTTTTTTGGAGACAGAGTCTTGCTCTGTCTCCCAGGTTGGATTGCAGTGGCATGATCTCGGCTCACTACAACCTCCGCCTCCCAGGTTCAAGCAATTCTCCTGCCTCAGCCTCCTGAGTGGCTGGGATTACAGGCACGTGCCACCACACCTGGCTAATTTTTGTATTTTTAGTAGAGATGGAGTTTTGCTATGCTGGCCAGGCTGGTATTGAATTCCTGGCCTCAAGTGATCCACCTGCCTCGGCTTTCCAAAGTGATGGGATTACAGGTGTTAGCCCCCACACAGGGCCCAGACTCCACCTCTTGGTAGGAGGAGGGGCAAAGGCCTAATACAAAGGAGCATGGAAGGAATTTTTGCAGCCATCCTTGGAATCCCCCATTTCATCTCCCTGACCCCCAACAAGTAGTTTGCTATATGGCATAAAGCTGGTATCCTAACTTTGCTATTCCTCATTTATACCTTTAGATCTCTGAAGAGTCTAATCCTTGACTTATCCACCACTGAAGGTCATGAGGAATGTATCACAACGTGACCGAGTTCATCCTACAGTCTAACCGAAACCCACCCTCATCATCACACAACAAACTTGGCATTTCTCCTTAACTGAAAGGGAGGTTAAATTCCCAAACATACAGGCTCATGAATCAGGAACTATACAGTCCATTGCACCCAGCTCTTTTTATTTGTAGATCAAACTGAAGCCCAGAGCTGTTGAGTGACTTTTCTCAGATTACACAGAAAGCACAGGTAGAAGGGAAATTGAACGCAGGTGCTGGTGCCTAATCTCTTTCTCGCCTCCCTTTAAACACTTAATGCTAGGAAAATTATAGTTCTCTGTTCTTCTGATCAATTGCCCCCAGTTGGCTGGCGTAGACAGAAAAGTGCCTCAGTTTCCCCTATCAGGCTGTTGAAGTTGACCATCACCCCCGACCTTTCTCCCAGGTGTGCTGTGAACACTAATGAGTTAACCTGTCTACAAGCCTAAAGAACCTCGCTTGAGATATAATTACAGGGAATTACCATCCACAGCCTTCTGGGAAGGATCTTGTCACAGTAGGTAAATAAATTATATCTTGTGGTTCTCCCTTCCCCATGGGCTGATTAACTCTTCTAGAGAATGTTCCCCAGTGATTGAAGTGATGGAACCCTTTTTACCAGCCCATCCTTCCGCCATTTGGGGCTCCCATCTGTCTCCAAAGACTCCCCGGGCTCCCAGCCTAGAAACATATCGCTTCTAGGGCCTGATTCTTCTGAGAATGGGCTCAAACCCCTTGTTAGGAGCCTGAGTAGGCTGCCCACCAGCCTCAGCTGCAGACCCAGGTGAGCAGGTTTCTAAGAGTTAACCGTCCTCTGCAGAATTCCTGGGTAAATACCATCCAGGCTGCCAGATTTATTGCCTTTTAATGCCTCCCTTGTCATTCCATTAGCCTTTCCTTCTGATACCTCTATCGTTTTCATCTGACTTCTCCCCACCCCAAATGTCATAACCGCAGGTTAGGTTTTTTCCATTAGCTCCTGCACTGAGGTCTGGGCAGAAAAAAAATCACTGGGCTCCCCCACCTCAATGAAATATTTTACTTAGATCTTCCTTATCTGTTCCCGAGCATCTTGCTGCTTCCCTCATTTTCTCCCATAATCTACCAATCTCCTCTTCCCGCTTCTGAGAACTTCTCAATAAAGCTGTTGGCTGCTTGTTAAATTGACCTCCAACTCGGTCCACTCATTACCCCTAGAGCCTCCTCTTTGTTTTTATTTAGCCAATGCATGCCTTGAACTACTGTCCCAAACCTGGCTCCCACAAATTCCACAGCTGGCCACACCAGTCCCCTGTTCAAAAACCTTCCAGGATTTGCCATAGCTCAAGAACTGTGTGCTGGCTGGGCACGGTGGCACACGCCTGTAATCACAGCACTTTGGGAGGCTGAGGCGGGCGGATCACTTGAGCCCAGGAGTTTGAGGAGGTCTCACTATGCCTGGGTAACATAGTGAGACTCCCATCCCTACTAAAAATACAAAAAGTTAGCTGGGTGTGATGGTGAGCACCTGTGGTCCCAGCTACCTGGGAGGCTAAGGTGGGAGGATCACTTGAGCCCAGGAGGGAGGCTGTAGTGAGCCGTGATTGTGCCACTGCACTCCAGCCTGGATAACAGAGTGAGAACCTATCTTTAAAAAAATAAATAAAAAAAAAAAAAGAGCAATGAAGAGCAATGTCCTGACTGTTGGGCCCAGCACACCACAAGCCCCTGGCAGTGTTGTCTGATGGCTGAGACACATGATATGGATCCAGGTTGACTGAGTTCAAATCCTGACCCAGTCACTCCATCTATCCATGACCTTGGGTAAGTTACTTGACTTCTCTGTGTTTTAGTTTCCTGATCTGTTAAAAGGGGTGACAACAGTACCAACTTCCTTAGTGATGGAGGTGGGTAAGGCTAGGATGAGACTCCATGGGTGTTAAGTGTTTCACATAGTGCTGGCACAGGGTAAGTGATCAATAAATATTAACCCTTGGCAGGGCACGGTGGCTCACGCCTGTAATTCCAGCACTTGGGGAGGCTGAGGCGGGCAGATCACCTGAGATCAAGAGTTCGAGACCAGCCTGCCCAACATGGCGAAGCCCATCTCTACTAAAAATACAAAAAGTTAGCCAGGCATGCTGGCGGGTGCCTATAATCCCAGCTACTCAGGAGGCCAAGGCAGGAGGCTGAGGCTGTAATCCCAGCTCCTCCTGGGAGGCGGAGGTTGCAGTGAGCCACGTCACTACACTCCAGCCTGGGCAACAAGAGTGAAACTTCATCTCGAATAAATAAATAAATAAATATCAACCCTTATTACTTGCCAACCCAATCACCAGCCAGGCACTCTTATATCTTCAGCTCACCCTGGTTCACTCCACCAAATGATCTGCCATTCTCAGAACACTCTCTGCCCCTATTCATCTCTGTGTGCTGCTACCTCTGTCTTGAACATCTCTTCTCCTCCAACACCACCTGGTGAACTTGGCTCATGTATGTGGTGCATCCCAAAAGTCTCCTCCTCCAGGAAGCATTCCTTGATGCCTCCCTCGAAGTCTCCACAGCACTGAGCAGCAATAGCCACAGTTGTAGCCAGCAGCTGTCCTTGTCACATCCTGAATTCTGAACCTCCAAGGCTCAACCCAAGGATCGTCCATGTTAGAAGTCTTTCCGGGCATCATGCAGCAGACTCTAAAGGCCTGACATGTTCTTTTTTTTTTAATTAATTTTTTTTTGGAGACAGATCATTTTATTTTATTTATTTATTTATTTTTAGCAGAATCTCACTCTGTCGCCCAGGCTGGAGTACAGTGGTGCGATCTTTGCTTACTGCGACCTCTGTCTCCTGGGTTCAAGTGATTCTCGTCCCTTGAGTAGCTGGGATTACAGGCAAGCGCCACAATGTCCGGCTAATTTTGTTTTTTGGTAGAGACAGAGTTTCGCCATGTTGGCCAGGCTGGTCTCGAACTCCTCTTGCCTTGGCCTCCCTAAGTGCTGGGATTACAGGTGTGAGCCACCACATCCAGCCCCTGGCATGTTCTTGATGAGTGAACAAATGGATGAATGAATGAATGATAGATGCAACCAACCCAACTTTATTTTCTTCTCTATCCTATCTTTGTTGATTTGCTGCTGTGTATAGAATTTTCTTTGTTTCATATCTTTATTCTCTCTCTTTTTTTTTTTTTTTTTTTTTTGTGGACACAGGGTCTCGCTCTGACACCCAGGCTGGAGTGCAGTGGCACAATGACAGCTCACTGAAGCCTCAACCTCCTGGGCTCAAGCAAACTTCCCACTTCAGCCTCCCAAGTAGCTGGGACTACAGGCAAGCACAACCATTCCCAGGTAGCTTTTGTATTTTTTGTAGGGAAGGGTTTAACCATTTTGCCTGGGCTGGTCTTGAACTCTTGGGCTCAAGTGGTCCTACTTGGCCTCCCAAAGTGTTAGGATGACAGGCATGAGCCGTGGTACATGGCCTTATTCTCTTTTTCTATACTGATCTTTTGGGCCACATAAACTGTTCATTTCCTTGGTTTTTTTTTTTTTTTTTTGAGACAGAATCTCACTCTGTCACCCAGGCTGGAGTGCAGTGGCACAATCTCGGCTCACTGCAACCTCCACCTCCCAGGCCCAAGCAATTCTCATGCCTCAGCCTCCCAAGTAGCTGGCATTACAGGCATGCATCGCCACGCCTAGCTAAAATTTGTATTTTCAGTAGATACGGGGTTTTTCCATGTTGGGGAGGCTGGTCTGAAACTCCTGACCTCAAGTGATCCACCGATCTCGGCCTCCCAAAGTGCTAGGATCACAGGCATGAGCCACTACACCTGGCCTCATTTTCAGTTTACAATATTTTAACCTGGAGAAATGATGCTCAGCTCCTTCATTCATTGATTCATTTCAGCAAAATGTACTGAGCCCCTACTGCGTGCCTGGGAAGGTACTGTGTTTTGTTCTAGGAATGCAAATGTGACCCAGAGTGAAGCTTCCTAACCTCATAAAGCATTAGGGAAGAAGATAGACAGCAACTGAAGGATCACATAAAGGCACAATTCTGATAAGTGCCATGAAGGAGAGGTATGGGGCTAGAGAGGGTGTGTAATAAATGGTTTACCCCTCACCTGAGGGGTTAGTTAGGAAAGGCTTCTCAAGAGCAATGAACTTTGAGCTGAGACCTGAAGGATGAACAGAAATCTCTCAGTAATAAGAAGGCAGCATTGGCCAGGCGTGGTGGCTCACGCCTGTAATCCCAGCACTTTGGGAGGCCAAGGCAGGTGGATCACGAGGTCAGGAGTTCAAGATCAGCCTGGCCAAGATGGTGAAACCCTGTCTCTACTAAGAATACAAAAAAATTAGCTGGGCATGGTGGCAGGTGCCTGTAATCCCAGCTACTCGGGAGGCTGAGGCAGGAGAATTGCTTGAACCCGGGCAGCAAAAGTTACAGCGAGCCGAGATCATGCCACTGCGCTCCAGCCTGGGTGACAGAGTGAGACTCTGTCTCAAAAAAAAAAAAAAAAGAAGGCAGCATCCTGGGTCGTGTGGCAGAGAAATCATGGCAAGGATGGGTGATGAAAAGAAAATCAGGGCCCGGCATGGTGGCTCATGCCTGTCATCCCAGCACATTTAAGAGGCCAAGGTGGGAGGATCTCTTGAGGCCAGGAATTTGGGACCAGCCTGGGCAACATAGCAAGACCCCATCTCTTTAAAAAATAAAAATAAAAAAAGAAAGAAAGAAAAAAAATAGCCAGACAAGATGGTGTGCACATGTTGTCCCAGCTACTCAGCAGGCTGAGGTGGGAGGATCACTTCGGCCCAGAAGGTTGAGGCTGCAGTGAGCTGTGCTCATGCCACTACACTCCAGCCTGGGCAACAGATTGAGATCCCGTCTCTAAAGAAAAGATAAGAAAAGAAAAGAAAACCAGGGGGTCTTGTATCAGTCAGCTACTGCCACGAAACAAACACCCGCAAAACCTCAGTGACATACCACAAGAAGCACTGGTTTCTTCTGTGTTTGCAAGTTGGCTGATCTGGGTGGGCCTCAGCCAGGCTGCCCTGCTTCAAGCTGCAGGTCTGACAGCTTAGCTCCAGATGCAAGGTGGGCTCCAGTCTGCCCCCAAGTGTGTCCATTCTGGGTGGGCCCCAGGCCAAAGGAACACCAGCTCTCCTCACAGCAGTAACAGAAGCATGAGAGGACAAGTACAAACAAGCAATGCCTCCAAAAGCCTGGGGTCAGAACTGGCCCAGTCATTTCTGCTCACCCTTGATTGGCCAAAGCAGATCACATGACCAAGCTTAAAGTCAAAGATCAGAGGGAAATTGCCTAATCTCAGGCACACGGCATGAATACAAGGATGTGAAGTGTTGTTTTGATTTTTTTTTTTCATTTTTTTTTTTGGAGAGATGAGGTCTCGCTATGTTACCCAGACTGGTCTCGAATTCCTGGTCTCGATCTTCCCGCCTCAGCCTCCCAAACAAAGTGCTGGAATTATAGGCATGAGCCACCACACCAGCCTGGGATGAAGTTTTGGTGTCAGTAATTCAATTTATCACAAGGTAAGAGCAGAAAAAATGACTGAGAACATGAGACTAATGGAGCTGGAGAAGAGAGAGCAGGAGCTAGATCCTGCGGGGCTTTCTAGACCTATTAAATGTTGGTCCTTCCCTTAAGAGCAATGGGAAGCTATTGAAGATATATAATGTGGCGATAAAGAATGATTTGATTTGACTTGCATTCTAAAATGATCCTGTGGGCCAGTCATGGTGACTCAGGCCTGTAATCCCAGCACTTTGGGAGGCTGAGGCAGGTGGATCACTTGAGGCTAGGAGTTCGAGACCAGCCTGGCCAACATGGAGAAACCCCATCTCTACTAAAAATACAAAAAAAAGAAAAAAAATTAGCCGGGCACCTGTAGTCCCAGCTACTTGGGAGGCTGTAGTCCCAGCTACTTGGGAGGCTGAGGCAGGAGAATGGCTGGAACCCAGGAGGCAGAGGTTGCAGTGAGCTGAGATTACGCCACTGCACTCCAGCCTGGGAGACAGAGCAAGACTCTGCTAAAAATAAATAAAATAAAATGATCCTCTGTAAAAAGATGAAAATAAAATAAAATGATCCTCTGGCTGCTGCTATAGGGAACAGATTAGAAAGGGCAAAAATAACAAAAATTCCACATGCCCTATACCTTCCAGTTCTACATGTGTTTGAATGTGTGAGAGTGTATGTTTATGCTTCTACAGGAACACGCCCAGATCTTCCTCAAAGAATGTGGCACCCTAGGATTTCTCTTTTCACACATCTGAAGAGCAGCTAATCTGTATATCACCTGGAACTGTATCAATTCTATTGCTTCATCTTGCAAATTCCCCACAATGCACACCTTCCCAGCACAGCGTGCAGGAAATTTCCCATTTGTTTTATAAATGTCAATTAATTTAACTCCCAAAAGGTGTTTCCCTTATTGTCATAACTACCATAATAGTAACAACCATCTCCAAACATTCTGCAATGTAAAATTTGCCAAGGATTTTATCCAAAGGCCCCAGGAGATAGAGCACGACACTCCAGCCCCATTTGATAGATATCGTAGATTGGAGAGGTTGTCTGGCCGGCTTTGCTCACCATATCTGGGATAGAAGAGTCTGAAGCCAGATATTTTCACTCAAAACCCATAGCTCACTTTTCTGCCAGTTTGCTTGTCTGACTTGATCATGAAATTTCAATCAATAAGCCCGGTTGCTGCTGTTTTTCTAGAACCTTTTGACCAGTGGGAGCCATGACTAACCTGAGAGATAGGTTCAGATATGAGTCTACAACTAACTCCCTCACTTCTCAGTCTCAGGCTCTGAGAACACCACCGACCCTCCTTCACTTGCAAACATTCCTGACAGTCTCTGGCTTCCCTCAGTCAAGGGAAACATCCACCTTAAGAGTAACCAGCCAGAAAAACCTGTTTGCCAGCAAAAGTGCACCATTTTTCACAAAGACACAGAAGGACAGAGGCTGTGTGAGATGAACAGCCACCAGCCTAAGAAGCAAGGAACACAATCTGACCTTTCTTCTACCACCATGAAACCACACCTCGGACTCCAGTTTTGCACCTGACCATCACGGGATAGAAACATTGCAGAGGGAGGGTGGGGATTGTGTATTGAAAAACAAGGCGGCACAGCAGGACTGCAAGTTTGCAAGATTGGAGTGAAAACTCAAGCTGCTTCTCTCTTGTCAGCCTTTTTGAATGAAAGGAGATTTACTGCTAGCATCAGCTGACAGTCTTTTATAGCCATTGCAAATGGATTTGAGCCAGCAGGGTAGCAGATGAACTGACCATGGAGGGACCCTAGAAGGCTCATTTTAAGACATATCCAACATCATGGCTGCAATAAAGTGGCACTCCTTGCCAGAGAAGAAGAAGGATTCAGTTGGAACCTTCGGAGGCCGACACTGTTAAGCATGTGTCCAAATTGCTGAGGGTTTCAGGATGTAAATGTTTTTCAGTATCACTTGCTCAGCCTGGCACTTTCAGTCCATTTAGTAAGATCTGCCTGCAGTGTAGGCAAAAGTCTTGAGATCCAGTTGATGGGGTATGACATTTATTATTGATAAAGGTGGAGGGGAAAAAATGGCTTGTGTCTGGGTAACACCTGGACATTGTTGCCATTTATCTAGCAGATAGTTGTGATTTATCCATAGCTGCTATGTACGCCCCTTTCCTGGTGGACCGCTCATTTTGTCTTAGGCTGTTTTTGTTTTTTACAGGGTCTCACTCTGTCACCTAGGCTGGAATACAGTGGAGCGTTCATGGCTCACTGCAGCCTGGACCTCCTGGGCTCAAGCAATCCTCCTACCTCAGCCTCCCAAGTAGCTGGGACTATAGTTGCATGCCACCATGCCTGGTTAATTTTTTAATTTTTTTGTAGAGACAAGGCCATGCCATGTTGCCCAGGCTGGTCTCGAACTCCTAGTCTCAAGCAAGCCTCTCAACTCAGCCTCCCAAAGTGCTGGGAATGCAAGTGTAAGCCACCACACTGGCTTTTTTTTTTTTTTTGGAATAAAGGTGATTCTTCAAGTACAGAATTAAATGTGAACTATTAATATTAAAAGATATCCCAAGTAAATAAATTCAGAATTTAAAAAATCCTTTTTTAAAAAGAATACGTTCTCTGGCATAAAAATATATTTCTTTCTTATTTATTTTTTAAATTTTTTTGTAAAGACAGGGTCTTGCTATGTTGCCCAGCTTAGTCTTGAACTCCTGGGCTCAAGTGATCCTCCCTCCTTGGCCTCCCAGAGTGCTGGGATTACAGGTGTGAGCCACTGCACTTGGACAAAAAATACACATCTCAAAAAATAAAAGAAAGTGGTGCATTTCCTCTGGTTGCTCCCCATCTCCTAAGGGTTTTCCCCCCCACATTCCCCTGGAGGCCTGGACAAAGGCAAGCTGAGTTGATCCCAGTGGAATTGGGGAAGGGGGAGATTTGCCTCTCAGGGAACCCAAGACTGAGCAGCCGCACCAGCTTCCTGCATGGTGTGTGCGTGTTTCTTTTCTCTCCCCTCTATAAACCAGTGATTAATGCTTTGCAAAGAGGCACAGACACACCTCCCCCGTAGCAAGAAAGCCCCTGCCAGATTCCCCAGACTTAATTCTGCTGTTAACACCCCTCAGGCGGAGGGGAGAAAAGTAAATCCCCTCCTTCACCAAGCCAGCCTGCGGGCAATGTGGTTTGTTTAAAGTCTCTTGGGTGAGCCACTGACCTGCCTCCCGTGAGCTCTGAGGGAGCTAGCACTTAAAAAAGAAAAATGAAAAAAATATTACCCCCTTCCCTGAAGCAGTTTCCGGTTTGTATATATCATTGCCCAGGATCCCCCTAAATTGATGAAGGCTTTGGCAGGAGAGCCTTCCTTTACCTCTTCCAGAATCAGTGAATAGTCGGAAGATCAGAGAGATGAACACTTTCCACGGAGTTTCGTGGGCTCCGTTTTCCTTTGGTTTGTAAGCAGAGTTCTGACTGGTCTCGAGATTTAGAAAATGCCTGATGAGGTTGTTCCCTCCACCCCCAGATTGCTCATGAATAGACCACGGGGTGCAAGAACAACTCCTATGCACATTTATTTTTAAATATTATCCTTTGGAATTTCCGTCTCAGTGAAGTTTAATTCATATGTCAACTTCACAGAAGACATATATAACTTAGAAATGCAGATATATACAGATAGTGAATAGCATCTACTCAAACCTTAGTTATGAATTATGTGATGTCCTTTTAAGAAATCTGGGGCTGGGGTGAGTCTCAATCTGCCGCCCAGGCTGGAGTGCAGTGGCATGACCTTGGCTCACTGCAACCTCCACTTTCCTGCTTCAAGCAATGATGTGTTTTGTTTAAATTCTCTTGGCTGAGCCACTGAACTGCCTCCCGAGTAGTTGGGATTACAGGCGTATGCCACCACCCCTGGCTACTTTTTGCATATTTTTAGCAGAGATGGGGTTTCGCCATGTTGCCCAGGGTGGTCTTGAGCTCCTGGGCTCAAGCGATCTGCTCGCCTTGGTCTCCCAAAGTTCTGAGATTACAGGCGTGAGCCACCACACCTGGCTGATTTTTTAAAAAGAAAGAAAATAATGGGTACAATCAGGGATGGTGGAGGATTACATGGAGAGTTCATAAGATGATGTAATCATTGTCTTTTGAGGCGTGTTCAATAACACTATTGTGGTCGTGTTGTTTACAAACAAACAAAAAAAAAATCGTACTCAGGCTGGGCACTGGTGGCTTACGCCTGTAATCCCAGCACTTTGGGAGGCTGAGGCAGGTGGATCACCTGAGGTCAGAAGTTCGAGACCAGGCTGGCCAAGGTGAAACCCCATCCCTACTAAAAATACAAAAATTAGCCCGGGCACAGTGGCTCACGCCTGTAGTAATCCCAGCACTCTGGGAGGCCAAGGTGGGTAGATTACAAGGTCAAGAGATCAAGCCCTTCCTGGCTAACACTGTGAAACCCTGTCTCTACTAAAAATACAAAAAAATTAGCTGGGTGTGGTGGTGTACACCTGCAGTCACAGCTACTCGGGAGGCTGACGCAGTAGAATCACTTGAACCTGGGAGGTGGAGGTTGCAGTGAGCCAAGATCATGGCACTGCACTCCAGCCTGGCAACAGAACGAGACAAAAGAAAGAAAGAGAGAGAGAGAGAGAGAAAGGAAGGAAGGAATGAAGAAAGAAAGGAAGAAAGGAAGGAAGAAAGGAAGAAAGGAAGGAAGAAAGGAAGAACGGAAGATAGATTCGATTAGCCCCATTTTATTTTACCTTTTTTTTTTTCTTTTTTTGGAGACAGGATCTTATTCTGTTTCCCAGGCTGGACTACAGTAGCAGCATCATAGCTCACTACAGCCTCAACCACCTGGGCTCAAGTGATCCTCCTGCCTCAGTTTCCCGAGTAGCTGAGACTACAGGTGCACGTCACCACACCCAACTAATTTTGTTTTTGTTTTCAAAGATGAGGTCCCACTATGTTGCCCAGGCTGGTCTTAAACTCCTGTGGTTAGCCCTATTTTATAGATAAGCAAACTGAGATCTGGAAGGCCAAAGTCACTTGCCATGTGGTACCAAGACAAGAAAAGGCAGAGTGGGGCAACCTCTGAGCTAAGACCCTTAGCCATTATGATTTTTTTTTTCTTTGTGACCTTAGACAATTACTTTTCCTGTCTGATCCTCAGTTTCTCTAGGTGTAAGGCCTAGCTAAAAGGATTATTTTCCTCTTAGCTCTTCTTCTTCTCCATTACCTTTCTTTTTTTTTTTTCTTTTTTTTCTTTTTTTTTTTTTTTTTTTTTTGCTCTCCATTATCTTTCCTTTTTTTACTTTTCCCAGGAACATGTCAGAGGCAGCCTGGTGTGGAAGAAAGAGAAGTTGAGTCCCAAGTTCTAATTCTAGTTCTGCCTCCTGCTATTTGAGTGACTTCAAGCAAGTTACCTAACCTTTCTAAGCCTCAATTTCCCCAATGGTAGAATGGGAAAGAAAATAATGAGTAGGCCAGGCACGATGGCTCATACCTGTAATCCCAGCACTTTGGGAGGCCCAGGCAGGTGGATCACTTGAGCCCAGAAGTTCAAGACCAGCCTGGGCAACATGGCGAAAACCCATCTCTACAAAAATACAAAACATTAGTTGGGTGTGGTGGCGCACACCTGTAATCCCAGCTACTCAGGAGGCTGAGGCATGAGAATCACTTTAACCTGGGAGGCAGAGGTTGTGGTGAGCCGAGATCGTGCCACTGCACTCCAGCCTGGGCAACAGAGCGAGACTCGGTCTCCAAAAAAAAAAAAAAAAGGCTAGAAAGAGCCTAATTCAGAGTCCAATATAGAGGAAATGTTCAAGTAAAGGTGAGTCTCTTGTATCTTTCCCCTCTCATGCTCCCCCTACAACCCCCAATGTTCCTCACCTCCCTCAGCTCTTGGCCAAAAGGTCACCTTCTCAGTAAGACTGTCTCTGACAACCCTTTAAAATTAAGCCCTGCCATCCCTATGCCTGAACTGCCCGAACTGCTTTATTTTTTCAATGTTACTTTTCACAATCAAACATGTATTTTATCTGTTTTTGTTTATGATCATTCTCTCCCCAACTATAATGTCTTTGGGGACAATAATTTTTTGTTTGGTTTGGTTTCTTTTTGTTTTGTTTTGTTTTGTTTTTTTGAGTCAGGGTCTCACACTGTCACCCACGTTGGAGTGCAGTGGCACGATCTCAGCTCACTACAACCTCCACCTCCCAGGCTCAAGCAATCCTTCCACCACAGCCTGCAGAGTAGCTGGGACCATAGGCGTGTGCCACCATGCCCGGCTAATTTTTTGTCTTTTTGGTAGAGACAGGGTTTTGCTATCTTGCCCAGGCTGGTTTCGAACTCCTGAGCTCCAAGTGATCCACCCGCCTTAGCCTCCCAAAGTGCTGGGATTACAGGCTGAGTCACCACGCTCAGCCAGCCTAATAGTTTTTAATGTGCTTAATTCACTGCTACATCCTGAGCCCCAGACACATAGTAGGCCCTTGGTAAACATTTGCAGAATGGATGAATGAGTTAATGAATGAATGAATGAGTATCAGACCTAGTATTGGTACCTTTAGATGAAGCAAGCAAAGAGCATGGCATGGATCTTGCGTAGTGTAGCTGATTCACAAATGCTTTTGTTCTCATTTTGCTGGGACCCCAGAATCCACTGAGATCATCCTGTTCAACTCTAAGCCACGTTTGATTTACTCATGGGTGTTCTGGGTTTCCAGCTTTCTTATTTCTGTCTGTCACTTAAATCAGCCTCCAAATGCCTGTCCCAGCGGCTCAGAGTTCTTGAAGCTGTATTTCACCAAGAAAAGTGAGTGCTGCTGTCCTGGGGCCATTTGCAATTTCCCTTCCATGAGCAGAGGTGTTTCACTAAGTGCTCTGTTTAAAGGCAAAAAATGCTTCAGTTCCTGACTTATCTTTGTGAAGGGATTACTTGGTGCTAAGGTAGGACTTGTCTACAGATCCTTTGGGGCAAAAAAGCTGCAAAGGTGTTTACAGCGTGATGTTGGGGGAAAAGGGGAGGGAGGGATTCTTTTTCTGGGTGGAAAACTGAAGTTTCAGAGGGACCAGAGCTGCCCAGAACTTCACCCCAGAGGTAGAGTGTGCGTGTATTAGAATAGAGGTATTGATAGACACTTTTAGGAGAAACTTCCCTCCCCAAGCCCTGTCTCTGAGCCAAAATCAGCCTAAGCCAGACCTTGCTCTTTCCTGGCCCTCTGGGAAATATTCCTTGAAAAGCTGTTCACAGAATGGATTTTCTATTCCACAAAACCTGTCTCTTTGCCTTGGCTCGCAGTACAAGCACATTGCCCCAGCTTTCAAAACTGTGCCGATTTCTCATGAGAATCCTCCTCTGTCCCTATAGGGACCAAGAGACCAATTAGTTACTTAATAAGTCAGGGGTTCATACCCTGTTATCTTCCAATAGACTTTTATGGGGGTGTGGGAGACCATGGACAGAATTCATGGATCTGTGAACTTGGATGGAAAAAAAAAATCACACTTTCATTATCACTAAACTCGCAGTGAAATTAGTATTTCCTTCTATTATGAATATAGACAACAAACCACAGGGGGATTAGCAGTGGCTGTGACTGGGTCACCAATAGAAATCTCAGGTGTTAGGCCAGGTGCAGTGGCTCACGCCTGTAATCTCAGTACTTTGGGAGGCTGAGGCAGGCGGATCACCTGAGGTTGGGAGTTCAAGACCAGCCTGGCCAACATGGCGGAACTCCGTCTCTACTAAATATACAAAAATTAGCTGGGTGTGGTGACGCATGCCTGTAGTCCCAGCTACTCAGGAGGTTGAGGCAAGAGAATTGCCTGAACCCAGGGGGCAGAGGTTGTAGTAAGTCGAGATTGCACCACTACACTCCAGTCTGGGCAATAGAGCAAGACTCCATCTCAAAAAAAAAAAAAAAAAAAGAAATCTCAGGTGTTTGTATATAACATTACAGGTGTGACTGGGATCCTGAAATGTTGTTCTGCTCATCCCAACTTCAAAAGTACACTATTAGGGCATTGTGCCACGGCTCACGCCTGTAATCCCAGCACTTTGGGAGGCTGGGGCAGGAGGATCGCCTGAGCTCAGGAGCCTGAGACCACCCTGGGCAACATAGAGAGACCCTCATCTCAAAAAATAGTAATAAGGCCAGGTACGGTGGCTGACGCATGTAATCCCAGCACTTTGGGAGGCTGGGGCAGGAGGATCGCTTGAGCTCAGGAGCCTGAGACCACCCTGGGCAACATAGAGAGACCCCCATCTCAAAAAATAGTAATAAGGCCAGGCACGGTGGCTGACGCCTGTAATCCCAGCACTTTGGGAGGCTGGGGCAGGAGGATCGCTTGAGCTCAGGAGCTTGAGACCACCCTGGGCAACATAGTGAGACCCCCATCTCAAAAAATAGTAATAAGGCCAGGCACGGTGGCTGACGCCTGTAATCTCAGCACTTTGAGAGGCTGAGGCAGGCAGATTGTCCGAGGTTAGGAGTTTTAGACCAACCTGGCCAATATAGCGAAACCCCGTCTCTAGTAATAATACAAAAATTAGCTGGGCGTGGTGGTGCATGCTTGTAATCCCAGCTACTTGGGAGGCTGAGGCAGAGAGAATTGCTTGAAGCCGGGAGGTGGAGGTTGCAGTGAGCAGAGATCGCGCCACTGCACTCCAGCCTGGGCAACAGAGCGAGACTCTGTCTGAAAATAGTAATAATAAAATAAAATGTCAATGTAGTATATATTACAGTTCCTGCCCCCACCCTTGCCCCGTTCTACCAGTAAGGCAATGGGGACCCAGATACTTTCCCAGTGCCTGTTAATTCCCAGGGAAAGTGCCAGGCCTTTCCTTGTGGCTTCTCTGGTAGCTGGTGGCCTGCAATCTGCCCCCTCCCAGTCCTCCTAAACCTCTGTAGGGCCTGGGCTAGAAAGTCAGGGACTCCAAGTTCCTGGCGTGGGTGTCAAACATCCCTTCTGAGTGCCCTGGCTCCAGGGTCCCCCGTCCTGAAGGGCCCAGCTGAGTGCGGCTTTCATCAGCCTCTGAGAGGTGGCAACAAGTTTCAGGGCAGGGTGCCTGCTGCCCACTGCCCCCACTTTTGCAGACCAGGCAGAGTGCTGGGAGGACTGGAAGCAAGATTCCAGAGGCATCTGGAAGTTATCAGTAACTCAACTGTCTGGCCAGTGGGGTGGGTTGAGGCCAGTGGCAGAGGGCAGAAACTGGCTGGAGGGTAGAGCGAGGAATCCCACACAGATTCCTGGGGCCAGACCCAGCTCCTGGGGGGAAGGGGTGGTGATGAGCTGGCTGGAAACCCTGCACCCTGCCCAGCCCTCCTTGGGCAGCAGCACCAAAGACAGCTGAAAGTCAATGATGATATTTGTCTGAGAAGAAACAGAGAGGGAGGAGCAGGTGGGCAGAGAGGGAGAGAAGCAGGCAGCCTGCTCCACTGGGCAGCACTTGAAGACCACGGCAGGGAAGGCGGGGCTGGGCAAAGCTCACCCTCTGGTCCACTTGAAGATTCCTGCTTCAAAACTAACCCTGATGGCTTCCAGACAAGTCGGCACCAAGGGTCATTTCTGGAGGCTGTAAGTGTTGTCGATAGCAGCTGTAGGGACAGGTGTAAATCAGCCTGTGCATTCCTCCCCTCGACCCCTCCCAGCTTTCTGCACCTGAAGCAGGTTCCATTTATTACTGCAAGCCAGCTCGGGAGGTCTAAACACACACACACACACACACACACACACACACACACAGGCACACACGGATATGCAGGCATGTGCCCTGTAGGCACATTTTTCTTTTCTTTTTTTTTTTTTTTTTTTTAGTGCTCCTTTAAAGCAAATTCTATCAGCTGTTTGTTAAAGCAAAGCAAACAAGGCTTCCCAACAAAAAAAAAAAAAAAAAAAGAAAAGAAAGAAAAGGAAAAAAATCCTTGATTAGCTACCTTTTAAAATGCCTTTCCTGGCAGACTGGGAGGCAAATAAGGGAGGAGGTAGAGTGAGGGAAGTTGAGCTGCGGTTTATTTGAACTAGTTGGAGTGATGAGTTGGGAGCCTGCAGGGGGCAGGGGAGGGGGTGCAAACGCGGACTTCACCTTCACCAGACTACTCTCAAACCTTCCTTCTCATCATCCACCAGCCTCCTGTGGTTCAACAAAGTTCTGTTTTCCCAAGAGGCTGGGAGGGAGGCTGCCCTTCATCGTCCCCTCCCTCTCCGTTGCAAGCAGGAATGTCTAGGAAATTGTGCAGCCCCTCTTTATTGGGCCAAATGCACTCTGGGAATAAGGAGGACTCTGGGGAAATTCCATTTTCTCTTCTTGGCCAAGTAGTCCCTACCAACAAGAACTTCTTAGTGAGTTTGTGTAGCGTGCTGTTGGAGTGGGGAAGAGGCTTTTCTGTGAAGCCAATGACAGAGAGAAACACAATGCCTTTTTTCCCCAAGATCCCAGCCACACACTCTCCCCCACCCTCTACCACAAAGGCCCTGCTGGGGGCCCCTGGAAACCCCTAATGAATGAGAACCTCTCTCCTAAGTTGTTAGTATTTGATGCTTTATACGGTTTTGAAAACCATATTCCCCAAGGGCTGGAGGCTATTCGGGAATTGGTCGGTTTGAGAAGCTCAATCGTGATTTAATGGAGGCATTTATACCGTGCTAGATAATCTCATACGTATGTCAAGTAATACATCGGGAGGGTGGCCCGGCTCTCTGGCTCTCCATTTCCCCACCATCTTTCTTATGTTTCCTTTTGGCCACTCCTTTCCCATCCGCTTTCCTTAGTCCCCACTTTCCCCACTTTCTCTGCCTCCAGGTGCTTCTCCCTTTCTTTGTCTCACCTCTTCTCTCTCTCTCCCCCCTCTTTCTCCTCCCCCCCCCCACCTCGCCCCTGCACTTGCTTCTTGCTCTCTGTGTTTCTTAATCTTTGTCCTTTCACCCCATCCCCAGTCTGCCTGATCCATCTCTCTCTGTCATTGTCTCTTCGTCTCTAACCTTTATCTCTTCTCCTCTTCTCCTCTCCATGCCTCTCCCACTCTGTGGGTATATAAGGGTCTCTTTTTATCTTCCATGCCTGTCTGTCTTCCTCCCTTGTTTGTCCTTCTTCCCTCATCCCCAAATACCCTCTCTCACTTTCTGTCACCCTCCCTCCCCAACTCCACTGTCCTCATTCTTTTCCACCTTTCTCATCTCCTTCCGCTCATCTCCTCACCCTCCCGCCAGACGCTCAAGCTGGGGGGTTGGGAACAGCCCCAGCTCTTGCCTCGGTGGATCTGCAATGCCCCCAGAGAACTGGGAAGGGGGACAGTGGGCTTCTGCTGCTGGCTTGGAGTTTTGCAATTGTAGCCTGGCCCTGGGAGTCGGGACCTCAGCCCCACATAGCTTCTGTTGAGAGACAGGAGGACTCTGGGCCTCCCCAGGAGTCAGAAATTCTCTCTGGTCCTGTTTACATGCAGCCCCCTCCTCATTTTCAGAGATCATTGCTGCAGGGGCTCCACCCATGGATGCTCCAAGCACCCACTAATGTTCCTTTATTCTCTACAAGTTCTTATTTCTCAATAGGTCTGAGAACTTTTTCTCCTGACCTCAGGAGATGGAGAAGACCTGGACAGAGTGGAGATGGTGGAAAAGGCAGGGGATTAGATTCAAAATTAGGACACCAGGGTCTCTGAGCCTAGCTGGGGACTCTAACTCCAGTGCAAGGAGAGGAAGGGAGCACTTTGTCTCTGGGATCCGTCACAGTTTTGAGATCCCAGGATTCAGGAAAGGGGCTCACAGGAGCTAACTCTTCAGTGGGAAGCTTAATGGAGGATCTCACTTTAGTATCAACTTGGGGAGAAGACAAGTAGTGGGGTTTCAGGCTGAGATGGGAACAGCACTGGGCAAGAGAGAGTAAGAATAATAATAGAGAGAAGGCATAATATATGTCAGGTAGTCTTCTAAGAGTGTAGTCTGTGTGTGTGTGTGTGTGTGTGTGTGTGTGTGTATTATATATATAAACTCTGTGCTTCAGTATATATTTTATATATCATTATGTATATATCAATATATGTGTATATTTACTATTGTATATATAGATTTATATATTTACACACACACATACATATACACACGGAAGCACAGAGTTTAGCAAGTCCAAACAGCTAATGATTCATGAGCACTCACTGTGTGCCAGGGGCTGGGCTGAGCGATGCATATGCATGATTTCACTTACTCCTTGCAATGCTCCTCTGTGGGAGAGCCTGAGAGTCTCATTTTTTTCAGAGGCGGCAAGGGAGGCTTACAGAGGTAAATGGAGGGATACAGTTCCAAGCCTCCAATATGCCATCTCCTAAATTCCAAATGCTCAGCAGGAGGTCGGCTAACACTTCGTTGAAAGCCACTGACCCGGTCTACAAATGTCAGCAGCTATCACAGTGGACCAAGCAGGCCCACAAGGGACCACCTCTGCACACACCTGAGTGTGCACCTGCTGGCTGGAACCTGGCTTGTCCTCGCCTACACACGCAGCCTGGCACACCTGCATGGCAGAGTCCCACCAAGCTGTAGGTCCCACTTAGGGGAGACTGGGACCATGGAAGTTGGTGTGCTCCATTCCTAGTGTGGAAAACAAGATATCCCCAGTGTTTCATCTCCTCCTCTGCGCATGAAGGTGGGTAAACATCCGCGGAGTGGGACGAGCTGGAAAGCGGGTGGCTCTTGGCGTCAGGCAGGAGTTCTTCCAGTGTTGACCCCCCAACCCCCGTCCATGTACAAGAACTGCAGTCTTGCCACCAACCAACCCATTCGCCAACCCTCCCTCGCAGGCATTTCGCCCGTCCCTTCTCTGATCTACAAGGAGCAGGGAAACCGAGGCCCAAAGTAGTTGACTGTAAGCGCGCGAGGGAAGCTCGCCAGGCTCTTGTGTGCGCACCAGGCTGGGATGTGGCGAGCGGAAACCACAGTCCCGGGTCTCCTGGGGCGGCGGAAAGCAAAGCCAAGCGCGGCGCAGGCACCTCCGGGCCCTGAAAGAAACCAAAGTTGGTCAAGCGGGCAAAGGAAAAAGAAAATAAAAACACGGGTTGGGGCCTTTGGAAAGCAGGGCATTCTCCGAATCATCCGCTGGAGTCGCTACTTGAACCTCAAGGATGTGGCGTGGGATGGGGCAGTGGGTCTACAGAGCAGGGGATGGTGCGGAGACAGATTAGGTTTGCTTCTGCAGCTCGGATCTTGTTGCGGGTAGATAGATGTCTATGCAGATCCAAGCCGCTAGGCGTGGGGCAGCGGCGCGGATAACTGGAAGAAAAAGGGAGATTCTGACCTCAATTTTCAATTCCGAATTCCACGTGCATTCGAGGAAAAAGAGACGGAAAGACTGGGGCGGAGGGAGGGAGAAAGAGACAAAAGCAGAGACTGAGATAGAGACAGACGCCAGAGAAATACTAGGAGGATCGAGATTCGCGCCTTAGCGCCAAGCTGAAAGGAGCGAGGCGATTCCAGCGACCCTCGTCCTGTCTATAAACATTTGGTACCAGGCCAGGCCAGGCGGACATGTGATTCCCTGAGGCCCTCTCGGTGCCAAGCGGCGGGCAACAGGAACCCAATGTCCACCTAGAGGGGGGAACCCTCGGCCTTGCCTCTCCTTTGCTGTGTGACTCCAGGAAAGTGTCTCTACTTCTCTGAGCAACGAGTTCTGTCCGTTTAGTTCTGGTAGGGCAACCAGCACGTGGAGCAAAAAGGCCTTGAAATATGGTCGGGCGCTGTGGCTTATGCCTGTAATCCCAGCACTTTGGGAGGCCGAGGCGGGCGGATCACCTGAGGTCAGGAGTTCGAGACCAGCCTGGCTAACATGGTGAAACCCTGTCTCTACTAAAAATACAAAAAATTAGCAGCCAGGCATGGTGGTACGTGGCTGTAATCCCAGCTATTCGGGAGGCTGAGGCAGGAGAATTGCTAGCATTTGGGAGGCAGAGGTTGCAGTGAGCAGAGATCATGCCACTGCACTCCAGCCTGGGCAACAGAGTGAGACTCGGTCTCAAAAAAAAAGGCCTTGAAAAAAATTGGGTTTAGGATTTGTGCCTGCCCTCCCTTCCCCCAACAGAGCTGCTTCTGACGAAAACACCCGATCACCCGGATCTTCAGTGCCTTAGTTGACGCGGGAGAGCTTGAGAAGAAATGTTAGATGAGAACACCGCAGGTACTCAATAATTGCTCCTGTGTTGCAGGTCTGCCTTAATTCTAAATCTCCGTGGAGTGAGGACACAGGTCGCCATTACCAAGCCCTTTCAAAGCCCTGAATGATCTCAGAGGGTTCTAACCGCCTTGGAGAGGGTGAATCCAAGGTGACCCAAGGGTGAAGAACCTATCCAGCAACACACCTCAGGCCTCTGGGCTCCAAAGCCAGGGCTCATTTCCATCCTTTCCCCCTAAGTCAAGGATTCCCGACATCCCGAAACCACCCAGCCCCAGGTGCTGCCAGGCTGAGGTTGAGGCTTTAGAAAGAGCAACCTCAGGGAGGAGAGTTTGGAGAGGGCCGCTGCTGGGGTGAGGGGAGGAGCGCCTGCAGGTAGGAAACCTGGACAAAGTTCAGCAGAGAACCAGGGAGGGGGAAGGGGGACGGTGATGGTGAAAACTGGGGAAAAAAAGAGAGAAGTGAGGAGAGAGAGAGGGAGAGAGGGAGAGAGGTCAGGAGAGGGAGAGATGGAGAGGGGAAGGGGGAGAGGGAGAGAGAGAAAAGGAGAGAAAGAGAAAGGGAGAGAGAGGGAGATAGGGAGAAAGGAAGGGGGAGATAGAAAGGGAGGGAGAAGGGGAAAGGGGAAGAGAGAGAGAAAGGGAGATGGAGAGAGAGGAGGGAAAGGAAGGGGGAGAGAGGAGAGAAGAGGAGAGGAGAGAAGAGAAGAGAAAAAAGAAAGAAAAGAAGAGAGGAAACATGACGGACGCTAGAGCTCGCGAGAGCGCCTGGGTCTGCTCTGCGCGCAGGGTGCCGGGCTCAGGACGCCTAGGCGTCCAAGCTGTGTTCCCCACCGCGCCCCACTCCGCCCAAGGGGAGAGCCCCACGGACCATTGTGGCTTGCACAAAACCCGCGCCCCAAGAGCCTCTGCCAGGCCGCTGGGACTTGATTCATTTCTTGACTAATTAACTGGAAGCTATGTCGCCCCTTCTTTCAGGGCCCAATTAATTCGCCGCGGGCGGTGGGGCGGAGGCTGTGCCGCGGAGGCGCCCGCCTGGAGCCCCTTTGTGAAGGGCTGTCTGGGCCGTATTGATTCTAGACACACATGCGTGCGCATACACACACACACACGCACACACACTCACACACACGCGCGCGCGCGCGCGCACTTTCCCCTCGTTCCTTCGTACTGAAAAAAGAGGGGGCGGTAAAGATCTGGATTTCCAGAGTTTAAGAAGGTTTTTGTCAGACTCGCACTCCCCACCCACCAATTGCATTTGCTTCCAGAAGGAAGGGACCAAAGAATACAGGCAGTTTTCAAATCTGCGCGGGGAAAGGGTTAGATGGAATTTCTCTTCCTAAAGGGCGAAGATATAAAGAAAACAGATCGCTACTGTGTACCCACTGTGTGCGTGTATCGGACTCCTACTGTTTTGCTGTTAAAAGTCGGACTCGAGTTAGACAAGCCCCAGGGTAAATTCCAGCTCCCCAAAACACTGGCTGTGCGACTTCGGGCAAGCCTCTGTCTTTCTCTGCGTGTCTCTGTTTCCTCGTCTGGAAAGTGGAGATCACTGAGAAGGCTCCTGCCTCATTAGATTATTGTAGTTGATGAGCCGATGTGTGGGAGAACTCTTAGAACATTGTCATCTTCCTGAGTATTTCACAAATGTTCTCGCCAATAAATCGCATTTTATAAGAAACTCATTTCTCAGGTGAGGAACCCGGAGCTAAGGGGTGTGGCCCCGCTGCGCAATGACCCGGGCGTCTGATTCCAAGGCCGAGAAGTTCAAGAACGAAATCTACTAGGGAGCTCTGATGATTTCACCACTCGGTGGTATGGGCTACACCAGTTGGGTGGAAGTGGGGGTGGGGGCGCTCTCCGGGCCCGGTGTACCCCTAGGCTCATCTGAATGGGCCTTGAGGCTTCTTCCTACCCACCCACCGCCATCCTCCGTCCAGTTCCATAATGACAGCGAGGAGGCAGAAACCCTAAATCCTGAAACATTTTGAGTGGAACCCAGCACGCAGGAACCTGCGAGATTCTTCCGTTTCGTCGAGGTCCGCATCGATTGTATTGACCTCCCCGTGGGCCAGCTTGTCTCCTTCATCGATCAGCCGAACGAAGTCTAGGACAGAACTGTAGACCAAAGGAAATCGCAGGCGTCTTTGCAAAGCTGGTGGGAAGTAACCCAGCGGCTGCTGGAAAACGAATGGGTGACCTAAGCCGGTTCCACCCCCTCCCAGGGCGTCGGCAAAAGGAGCTTCTCACCCCACTGCCTCTTATTCGATCACTAATTCATTTTTTAGTTTGGTTCTGTTTTTAAAACAAAAATTAAAGAAAAAATAGTTTATTTGGTCAATCAACAAACATTTGATGAACACACTGCATGTGCCAGAGACTACGGTGAGCATTGGGGTACTAGCGGTGGGGAGAAGTCTGTACAGAAGCATAAAACCCTGGCGGCGGGGGAGGGGTTATGGAAACCTCTTTACTGTCAATTTTTAACAATGTGAAGGCGCAAGACTCCCTAGTTGTCTATCCCAAAGTTTTCTGTTTGTGCAGAGCGGCAGTACTACCCACTTGTAGGCAAGGTGTGTGCTCTGAGTGCAAGAAACGGACCGGAGAGTTTAGAAGTTAGGGCCTTTGAGCTGGGAGCTGGGGTGAGCAGATCCGGGAAAGTCTTTTGCGGGACAGCGGCTGGGTGTTAAGCTCCAGCTCCCGCGCACGCCTGGCGCCCGCGGTGACCTCCGCCAACCAGGTCAGTAACGCTGTCTGGGTTTCCAAGGCTCCCAGGAGCAAAAAAATCACCCAGCCCTACCTCTCCACAGCGCGTGGAAGAGCTAAGGCTGATTGAGTTTGACCTTTCTGTCCAGAGATCTTGAAATTAAGCCCTCTCCTGTCCCACTCTTCGTGGGCCTCGATTTTCCTCATCTTCAAAATGGGAATAATAATATATTTTTACCGGAGTGAACAAAACTCAGGACCATAAGCATTAAGCTGGAAGGGACCCATCTTTTATTCACTCCCTTGTCTCCAATACTTTGAAGACTATCTGGCACCTAGAAGACTCTCAATAAATATCTGTTCAATGATGGAGTGGAATTTTCTATCCATTATACCAAACCTCTCTTCCCACTACCATCTTAGAATAAGTCTGCTTTTCACTATCTTATTTTATATATCAGAATCCGTTTGGGAGAGCAGCTAACAAATTGAATACTGGTTCTTTAAAAATGCACTTTGGAAGTGGTTATTTGTTTTACAAATGCAGAGAAAATGCCCCTTTTAGTCTCCTTCTCTCCCTTTCTTTCTTGACTTTCATTCCTGTATTGAATTATTATTTATTGAGCAGCCATTAGCTATGAGCACTGTGATCGGAGCTGGAGAGATGAGGAACCCTATCTCTTACAAAATAGGAAACCTAATTTTAGACACTCCTGCACAGACCGTGTAGCCTATTAACTTTATTTGGCTATAGTTAGTAGTCTTTTTTCTTTGCTGCCTAGCTCTTTAACTTTTGACAAGATCATAAAGGTGAGGGCATTGCTTGGTACACAATAGGAGCTCAATAAGTGTTGGATGAATTTATTCTTCCTAATATTGTAGCCCACAGCTCCACTCTCAGCTGAGGTCTTAATCGCCTTGACAGAGAATCTTTCAAATGACTACTGAAGCCAGTAATACAATGGACTGAGCAGTCCTCTAAGAGGTCCTATGCCCATGAGATTAGATTAGATTAGAACACAGTCCTGTGTTTCCAATTCCAGATACAATTCAGATTGGTTCCGGGGTAAGGTCAGCCACTCCAATTTCTAACGAGTGGACCAGGGCTGGGCAGGCACCAGATTGGCCTTTGCAAAAAGGGATGTGGGGCCCTGAGGTTCCTAAAACCATGTACCCTTTGCAGATCTCCACACTTGTCTGGCTGTGGTCCTTTCCAGACCACTCTCCCGCAAAACACACACACACATACACACACACTCACACTCACTCAACACCTTTCCCGGTAAACAGAAGTTAATGCAGTGCAGGCAGAGCTTTAGAAATGAGATGCTAGTTTGCACTGAGAACCCTCTTCCCCCACTTCCTGGCTTGCACCTAACTTCTCTTGCGCCAGCTCCCACATTTG
The DNA here is from genome assembly GCF_000001405.40 of Homo sapiens. Lineage (NCBI taxonomy): Eukaryota > Metazoa > Chordata > Mammalia > Primates > Hominidae > Homo > Homo sapiens. Next base: position 114,695,177 of record NC_000012.12, on the reverse strand, counting down.
GCAGATTCCAGGTGGCCCTCTCCTGCCCCAGCCTCCAGGAGCAGTTTCGGCCTCCTGGTATATCTGGAATTGCCACCGCAGAGGCTCAAAACCGAGGCCTCATCCCAACCCAACCAGTTGGCCAGGCCCTCTGGGGCACACAGAGGACACTGTCCACCAGCCAAGTCTTCCCTAAGGGCCATCCAGTGGAGACTGCAAGGGCACCTTCTGCAGGGGTTCCCGATGAGCCTCTCCAGAAGCGAAGAGCAGAGGTTTCCAAGTGGGAAGCAATCCACTCCTTCTCTACCCCTGCAAATTGGGGCACCTCCATCTCCAGCCTGGGTCCTGTACTTCCTTCTCTGCTTCAGACTGATTCAGATTCACCTAGTGTTCAATTAGCCACTTTTATTTATGCGCAACATGTGCACTGGACTGGGAAGTTTTTTAAAGAGAGAGAGAAAAAGTGTTTTTACTACCACTGCCTGGAAACTTTCCTGTGGCAGCTGAGGGGTTCATCCTGGGCTGGGTGACGCTTGCAGCTCCGTGGACATGTTAAGTCCTGTCTTACTAATTCTACACCTATGCCCTTATTCTGACTGGAATCAGGCGCCTTAACTTCCTGTCTTTGCATGCAATACAGGCTGTTCAGCTTCTTCCCTGAGGCCCCATGGGTGCCAATCCCCCTGGTAATGGGTCTCCTGAGTAGCAACTTAGTCTGCAACAAATCCTAAATGGAAAGAGAGAAAAACGCCCTCTTCATGTGCCCAGAATGTTATCGCTAATTTTTTGGAAAAGTGCCTGTGTACACACATATTATATCTATTATTGAGTGGGTTAGTGGGAGACTAAAAACACCGAACAACAGTTGTGGTGTGTGTGTGGGGGGTGGGGAGTATATTCTCCAATTCCCTGGTAATTTGTAACAGACAGATTTTATTGCTGCAAGAGAAAAGGAGTAACTGTGTAGCTGCAAAACAAATTTAGTTCCGTCTATATTGATGAAACAGGAGTCTGCCCATGGGGTGTGATTGTGATGCATTTCTAAAATCTGAGATTTAATGTTATATTCTGGGCTACTTGTAATGTCCATATACACACTGGTACCCACAAAGAACAGTTTAGAAATACACATGCATATTCTTTGACATTTAAATAACGCAGTGGGAGATGGGCTTAAGGTTGGACCTATACACGACTCAGTAAGCTCTCTAAACGTTAGGAAGATCTAAACTGAAGCACTAGAAAGGTCTGTGACTCTGTTCTTCCTAGCAAGCCAGCCTCACCTCCCCTTCAGATTCCATCTATAGCAATCTTCTTGTATCCCTACCAGAGGGGATTTCTTTTGCATTTTACTCCTGCCTCACCCAATCTCCCCAACTCAGAAACTTCATAATTCAACTGCAATATCCCTGTTTTACAGAAGTCTGCTCCACTCCCTTAAAAAAAAATCATACGTCGAAGTCAAAAGGTCTTTCACTGACTCCAACAATTCTCAAATTCTAGATGGAGACATGCGATGAAGGAGCCTGTCCTGGTTGTATTCACTGCATTAATACGCACACATAAAAGTGAATGCAACATCGTATTTTAACTTCTCTGATAGAAAAATCCCAACTGTGCCATACCGTCCTTCCTCCTCTCCCTGTTCTCAAAAGAATTAGAGTCCCAGGAAGTGGGGAAAGGGTGGGGGGTGGGGGTCGGGCAATGAAGTTGCTTGGAAAGGAAGAAAACAATAATTCGAGGCACTATTTACACCTGCAAACTTTGGATGGCTGTATTCGGCCCCAATTGGCTTAACTGTAAATCTTTTCCGCATGGCCCCAACTCCTGGCCTGAGCGTCTGGGTTTAATAATGCCCCTCGGCACCCCAGCAGGGCCAGGCTGAAAAGAGAGAATCCCCCACTCCACCCCCATCCAGCGCAGAGGTCATTAGAGCAGCGCCCCCCACTTCCCCATCCATCCATGCTTGAGGTACCAGACTCAGACATGTGGAGAACTCGTATTTTACCGTCTGAAGACAAGGAAAGCCTTTCAAAAGCAAATGTCCCCCCCACATCAGAAGTGGAAGGAAGTTTCCCCTCCCTCCCAACTCTGCGCGTTTGGCTTGCAAGGGGTGAATGGGAAAGAGGGGTGTCGGCACTAGAAGCCGGAGACAGGCTCCAACTCCCTGGGCTGGCAGCGTAGGGTTGACCTGTTTATAAAACTTGCTGCTAAGAAAACATGTAAAAACACACCCCAGCGGTGGGAGAGGAGAACTCTCCCTCCCCGCAACCCTCCCGGCTTCGCGCACGAAGATTCCCCCGCTCGGCTGCGTTCTCTCTGAGCCTGTTATTCTCCCGAGAGCCATCTCCTTGCAATTGCTTTTCCACCACTTTGGGAGACAGAGAGTCCTACATTTCTCTTTCATTTTTGGTTACTCCTCCCCGCCCCCCACGGCTCCCCGCAAGGTCTTTACCGTCCACTCCCGATGTGTCCTTTGCAAGCGAAGGGAGGGGGGAAGGTAGCAATCAATGCGGCAGCAAAAGACAAATCGGACAGGGTAGGGTGGGAGGTGGAGGTAGGTGAGCGGCTTCTAACTGAATCCCTGCAATCTTGATCTTAGTTCTCAAAAGGAAAAAGACCTGCGCTTCGCTGCCCTGGGTCCGCCGTGCTTTCTTCATCCCCCACCCGGGCAGCCCGCCGCGCCGCGCCGCGCCGCGCCGCGCCCCGCCCCGGTAGCTGGAGAGGGAAGGCAGGTACCCAGCGCAGGGTTACCTGCAGGCGGTTCGCCGGTTCCCGGGCCTGTCGGGACCTTGTCGCGACCGAGAGCTGGGGAAGGACAGCCTGTCCGAGACCTCTTTGCTCTCCTGCGGGCCTGTGCAGCGTTTGGGGCAAGATCCGAGCCCTGTCACCCCCTTCCACCCTTGGGTGAGAGTAGAATCCGAGGCCGTGAGCTGCTTCTCCGGTTCCGTGCTCAGCGAGGCCTGGATCCGCACCGAGGCGCGTCCAGCTTACGTATTTGCAACAGGGGTAAGGGGTGGGGTGGGGGATCTAGGTGAAGCCCCCCGGGGCAGAAACATGGCCAAAAGGACCTTATGGGACGCTCTGGGCTGTCGCTCACTCCCAACTCCTTCCTGGGGCTCGAAATCTTCCTTTCCCAAGCGAAAGGAGGAAAGGGCGCTGCGAGGGAAGACAGAGGGCAGGTTCCCGATCCAGGAAGGCCGGTCCTCTCCACTCGCCTGGAGGATTTTTAGTATCTGGTTCAGAGATGAAATGAATTGAGGCCCGGGCGCCAGTAAAAGCAACTACTAGGAAAGGCACTTTCACAATTCCAAACATTTTCTCTCTTTCTGCGTGTGTGTGTGTGTGTGTGTGTGTGTGTGAGCGCGCGCGTGCGCCTTCCTCATTCCCCTTCCTCTAAAATAAAAAAATTTTTGAAAGGAAGAGAAAACAAACTTATCTAGCCCTCATTATTCAAACCCCAAGCTAAAGACTTTTAAGGGCTTCTGGGATCTCTCGGGCCACAACCTTCACCTAACCCTTTATTCGGAATGGGAGAGGGAATAGTCTCTCCAGTCGGCACTAATCGGTCCCTGGATATCATACAAGACTTGGGACATTTTAAAATATGTAGAATTTGTTTGTATTATTTGGAGCCGGGATGATTGATTTGGGAGGGACACATCCCAACTCAAAATACAGTCACATTGTTGAGGCCTCTAGTTTCTTTTGCTGACGTGGAAGGAGGAGGAGGCTACGCAGAGTGTCATGAAATTAAGACCGACACCCTGCAGCTACTCTTCTGCCCAGTGGTCTGTGTGGCCATGGTACAAAGTCAGTGATCATAGAAGGTGGAGGGGGTTGGAGGGCTGGTGCTCAGCTCAAGTTTGTGTGAAGTGAGTTTGGCCAGAGAGTTTGCCTGGTTGTGAGACCACTGCTCGGTGACAGGGCAGGCCTGGGGTCAAGATCCTGAATCCAGGACCTACATCCTGACCTTGGCAGCAGATTTTCACGTCTTCTATTTGCCTGGCACCCCCCAGAGAAGCAAGATCACCACCCTGTGTTCTAGGACCAAAACAGGATAACTGCACAGAAGGCTAGATTTTTTCCATAGGGGCATGTTACAGCAGGAGGGATTGCATCTGTTTTCAGTGCAACAGTAAAACCTGGAACCCTTCAAGTGCTCACACTACCCCAATTCCTGTGCCCATCTCGAGAAGGTAAATCCTTCCCTCAAGCCTTAAGTGCCCCCAGGACAGCTTCATCTCTAGGGGGCATCAGTAGGTATGATGTTATCACCTTCCTTCTCTCCTCACCCTAACTGGATTTTCAAGACATGAAAACATTTGCTTTGGGAACACGGGTGTGCTGGGTGGCTGGCAAGAAGTGGAGGGAAGGTTGCAAGAAGGAAATGGAAAGAAGAGGGAGGAAAAACACACATGACAACTCTGTGCCCACGGCTCCCTTTCATTTGCATCCTGCTTGGAAATAAATGAACCCCCAAACACCAGTGAACTTTCTACTCTCACTCTCTTTAATTGAAACCCAGTACGGGAAATAGTAATGGATATTGTGCTCAAATTGAGAAAACGTGTCTGGGGCTACGAGGGGAGAGTTAGTTCAGCAGATTTGGAGGAGCTGATCTTTCTTTGGCCTGTCAACCTTCCTGACAGTGTGGTCATTTAATTTGCTATGCCCTCTTGCTTACAGATCTTCCTGTGCCCTCTGCCACATATGCTCCCCCAGGGCGAAACCCCACTCTGCCCCACAACCCTGCCACCTAACAACACTACCAATGATAAGGGAAAGAATGAAACAGTAGCAAACCACAGAAGTAAATTCTCCCATTTGAATGTCACCCTCCGTCTGCATGAGAGGACTGTTAAATTTCTCCTCCACCCTCTTAAAGTATTCTGTCACTTAGTCCCTCTACCCTACAAGTAAAATTTTGATACAAACCTCTGAGAGGCCACTTATACCCTTACCTGTCTCGACTGAAAATCTAGAAAGAGGATGTTGAAGAAAGAAAGGTGCTGGGTGGTCAAAAGTGCCTGGGGCAAAAGTCAGCTCTGGCCTGTGTCTTGGTGGTTCTGGGTCAGATAAAATGAGAGAAAAAATTCCTGGCCCCTTCCTTGTGAATTCATTTCTGCTGGCCTAATAATGCCCATTGCATTATCTTTTTTTTTAAAGTAATTAGGTAAAACACACACACACACACACACACACAAAGAGAAGGTTGAAGATATAGATTGACTTGAAATTAGGAAACCACAATTGGTTCCCTTTCCTGAGAGAGGAAAAAACCTTCACAGATGTAGAAAAAGCACTCTCCCCAGACACACACACATCCTTCAATCTTACCTCTCTCATTTCCCTTCTAACTTATCTAAATCACTGGCTGTGTACAAATTTGCCATTTTGCAGGGTGATCAGCTTTGAGGAAAGGTAGGTGCTAATAAGAATAATATGGAGGGCAAAATGTTTTCATTTTGCCTCTGCCAAAAACATATTTACATTAAGGAGGTATGATGAGCATGGATTAAGTGCATAGCGAATGATGCTCTAGAAACGGCATAAACCAACTGGCAACAAACTGAGCCTCTGTACTAAAAATATTGCTTCTCCAAGCTAGACAACTTTCAGTCTTCTCTCTCTGAAACATGCTACAGACGCTTGCACCAAATTGCCCAGATCAATAATTTAGAGGAATGTCAGAGGATAGGGGAAATGTGTGTTACAGGAAAGCTCCGTGCTGCTGGGGCAAGTAGGAAGCTGGGAGCTGGGGGCTATAGAGCTCCCCACCCTAGGTTCCTAGGTTAACTTGCAGCTCCTCACCCTAGGTTCCTGCTCTGGAAAAGATGGGGAGGTGGCCTTAGAGCTTAGGGAGCAAAGATGGGGTTCAACTCTGGAGAAAGGGGTGGCTTTGGAAATGCCAAGAGGAGAAGGTAAAACTGCCACTCTAGGCAAATGCACACAATGTTTTTCTATCTCTCAAGATACTTTATCTTTCTAGTCAAGGAAGAGAGGGGAAGGTGTTTGCTTCAGCCCCAGGAAGAGGGATCTCCAGGCTGTCATGGTTGCTGGGAAAGATGAGGGAGGGAAAGGGGGCAGAGTACGGAGGCACCAGGTCAGAAAGACAGGAGAGAATTCAGACAGGACCAAAACAGCCAGAAAAAATAGGATAAAGAAGGTAGAAAAAAAAAAAAAACAAAACAAAACATGAGAAGTTAAAGCCTGGGAAATAGATACAAGACAAGAAAGAGAAATAGAAACCAAGAACAAGATTGATGAAAGGAGGAGAAGAGAAAGTAGAAGGAAAAAGAATAAGAAAGATTCCAGACACGCATTCAAATAATCCTAAATGGGGATGAGCAGAAAGACAAGGAGACCAAAAGAAAAGGGGGGGGGGGGGTGGTGGGGAGGAGAAAGAAAGGAATGGAAAAAGAAACAAAAGGTGAATGTCCTGCCCTGTCTGTCTGGTCCAACCAAGAAGCTAGTGTCTGCCCTGGAGGGAGGAAAGGTGGGGGAGTCCAGCCTGTCTCCAAGGGACTGACAGGCAGCTTCTGGACCAGAGAGGAACTAAGCTCTCAAAGCAAGCTTTGGGGAGGAGGAAGGGATGGGGGTGCATGGTGAGTGGAGACTCCTGGAGGAAGAGCAAGCCTCCACTGGGTTCAGCACTGCCAGGGGGAGAGTCAGGGTTCAGGGTAGCATAGCAGTGCTAATGTATGTACCCCAGAGGGGTAGGGGGTGCTAGGGCAATTTGCAGGAGGACCACAAACAGTAAACTAGAGAGCTACTTCCCTGGGATCCGTGATAAGAAAATCACTTCCTCAGGTGGGAGAATTGAGCCCGAAAGAGAATGGGAGCCCTTGGGGGGCAGGCACCTGGTCAGTTTCAAAGCTCGTCAATATCAAAAGAGGCTGGGATCCTGAGATCAAATGGGCTGGGGCACTGGGCAGAAACGAGGAGCCATTGCCAAACTGCCAGGATGACCAGAACGCCCCTCCCCCAGGAAAAGTTCATATATGAACCCACCCCTGTATGAAACTTCTTAATTAGGTCTCATACCCCCGGTGAATCTTGGATGCCCTTCTGTCAACAGAATTCCCAATTTAGTGACACCTCGGACTGAAAAGAGCTCTGCGGCAAACGGGGGTGAAAGTTTAAGAGGGAATAAGCATATAATACTCCCTTGCCAGACCTCACACATGCTGAAGGGAATATTTACAGCAAACTGGCCAAAGCAAACGACCCCGCCTACCCACCATCCTTTTACCCTCCTCCCCGCCCTTTTTGTAAACTCCAGATAAACACCATTTGATCACAAAAGGGTCGGTTTGTCCCCTTTATAGTTTGAGGCAGGCAGTGCGGCAGGGAAAAGTGGCGTGGGCTAAGCTTCCGTCTCGGGCAAGGCCAGCTTCTTTGCTGGCACCGTGGCCTGGGCTAAGGACAGTTGATTTGGTTTTGTTTCCCCCGACCCCCACCCCGACCCCACCCCCACAAAGGAACATTATTTTCAGGGTCCTCCCCCCACCCAGCTTTAACACTCGCCTACTTGCACCCGCACTACTTTAAATGCTGCGGGCATTGCAGATAGAGAGGTTTTTCAGTTAATTTACTTTTTTAATTCTAGAGCTACAATTAAGTGAAAACTCTTTTTGCGAAAAGGTGGAGGAATATTTCAGAGACGCCAGAAATTATCTGGGTCTTTTCTGACCCGGAATCTGCCCTCTTTCTCCCTTCTCCTCCCCTTAAGTCACCCTTTTCTGGGACTCTGTTGAAGGGCAGGCTCTTTCAACGTCTCTAGTCTGTCTTTTGTTGAGTGTGAGACCGAAGGAAAGAGGATCGAGGGGTCTGCAGAGAGAAAAAGACCGCAGATAGCCGGCAGCTGGCGCCTAATGCCGGGGTCCGGGGAGCGCTGGCCTCGTGGGTTCTCCTGGAGGCCAGGCCCAGCACAAGCCTTCGGAACACGCTGGCCAATGTTTAACCCGAATGCAGTGGCCACCAGGCCGCTTTTGTTTGTTCGCAAATTAATCACCCAGCGCATGGCCGGCGCCAGAGTGGGTTTATCACCCACCGGGAGGGGGGCGCGCCGGGCACGCAGAGACAAAGAGGAGTTCGCACCTTCCCGCTTTTGATCCCAGAATTACGGCGGCCTCCCTGCCTAATACGAGCCTCCTGGGGCCGAGTCTGGGAGGTCAGTCATAATTGGCGGAAGTTTGCAGACCATTAGCAAGATGTCGACATTTTCGATTCGAACCCCGCAAACTTTCCTCTCGTTCTCTGCTTCGCGCGCTGGAGGTTGGTGTGGGAGAGGAGATGGGGGTCAGAAGTAGCGATCTGGGGTGATCACAGGGTTAAGTTAGAGCTATGGGCAAAAAATAGGCAATTGAGGGAGGAGGACAGTGTGAGGGGCAGAACTCCCTCTCAGTCCACCCGCGGAGCCAAAAACAAATCTAGACATTTTTAAGTAAAATCCGCAAGCTCCCCTCCCATTTCCAAAGCTGACAGCTGGCCAGAATGCAGAGGAATGTCTCTCTGCTGTGCGTGGGACGCTTGGGGGCACCGAGTGGGTGAGGAGGAGGTCGGTCACAGTGTGGTTGTAGAACTACTTTGCTTCCACCCCAAGTAGTGGGGCAGAGATTGGCCTGCGAGGGCAGGCAGGCAAAACCAGATCGCTGGGATTTGGGGCCGCTCTTGAAAGAGCAGCGAAGGGGCCCCAGGCCCCGGAGGCGAGCAGTCTGGGGGAGGGGGTGCACTTTTTTTTTCTATTTCTTTCTTTTCTTTTCTTTTTCTTTTTTTTGGGGCGGGGGTCCCCAGAGACTCATGAAACCCTGCAGTGACTTCCGTGTTCTGTGTAAGGCGGGAAATGGCCTGGCCTTTCGCACCCTTCAGGTGGGGAGGAGGGGATGCGGGAGGGGGTGTTATGAGCCAACACTCTGGGGCACCACCACCTCGTAATTTTCCCTCTCTCTCCTTTCTCTATTTTAACCACTGGCAGAGACAGAGAGGACGCCAGAGAAAGACAGACTGAAAGGGAAAGAAAGGGGCGAGATGGCGAGCCAGACGGAGTTCGCAGAACCACACTATTCTCTCTGGTGACTTCAGGGAATTCTCAACGCTGGCGCCAAGCTCTCTTAACCATGTGCGTCAAAAATGCGAGGCTGGAGAAGCCTGTCGCCTCAAAAGATCCTCCCCTATCTCAGCGTGGTTGGCCCACAAGAGCACTTCATTTTCACCCTTCCCTTGGTGCCACGTTGGGGTTTCGGGGTTGCTGGGGGTTGCGCGGGTGCACAAGGCAAAATGCGAGAGAGGCCTGTGCTGGCCTACAGAGACACACACATCCAAAGCCCTGAGTCTCTTAAACCCCTAAGCCCCCAGATCAGCCCTTTCTCCGTTCCCTTTCCATCGAAGAAGCTTTCATCTCAGGAAAGATAAAAGAACATTGTTTTCAAGATTTCCCTCCATCTAAGCAAGGATGGTCCAAGACATTGGCCCCCAGAATCAAGAACTGTGGGCTTAGGCGAATCCTCTGACCCCGACCGGGCGCTGCGGTAACAGAGTTGGTAATTCGGCGATTGGTAAGATCCGGTCGTTTCCCTCCCGTCCGCCTAAGAGGAGGCCCCCACCCTACCCGTACTAAAAACAGTCAACTCGCCTCTGAGGTGGGGGCGTTTCACGGTTTGTTTTACAAATTCACCCTCCCTCCCCGACTTCTGGCCAGATTAAGTCCCCGGGGTGGAGAAAGAACTGAGGCACCGAGAGATAAGTGCGATGCCTAGAGAAGATACCAGGCTGGCGCGCCTCCCCCAACCCAATCGCCCACCCCTTACCCTGTGCTGTGCACCCAGCCGGGCCTCGAGGTGAGGGCAGCGGCTTGGAGGGGACAGGCTCAGAACCCAGTCTCTCGCTGTGCTCGCTTTGTCCAGATCCTCCATTCTCTTCTCTACACCCACACCCACATCCAGGTGGAATATGGGGGCCCGCATGCAAATGAAAGACGAGATCCAAAAGGGCTGGTAAATGCATTTCATAAAAATCCCAAATCCATCTTCCCCAGGAGCTCAGGCAGGGCCAGCCGCGCAGGCTGTGTACGTGTTTGTGTGTACGTGTTTTTCGGTGTGTGTTTCAGTCCCAGTGTGTTGGCGCGTGTTCGAGTACAGATACACCGGGGGTGTTTGGGTACCCGCACATGGCTGCGGGTGGGGCGCAGTGGAGAGGAAGCCCACACATGCGTGTGCTGAGATATGGCCGCATCCTTGTGCTCCCCCAGCCCAGACGCAGGGGAGACCAGCACCGAGACACCCGAGCTCGGGAGCCCTTCAGCGGCGGCCGGGCGGAGCTTGGCTCCACGTGGGGCTGGAGAGCACGCAAGCCTGGAGTCTCGGCGCTCGCTTCTCGGCTGCCGCCGGCTTTTGTAGAACCGAGTGGCCGGATGGCAGCTCGCGGGGAGGCTCGGCCACCCGCCCGGCTCGCCCGGGGCGGGGAGAAGAAGGAGAGCTGGAGAGAGAACCGGCCGCGGCGGTCGGAGAGGCGAGCGGAGTGCAAGAGAGGCGAGCGCCCCTGCCCGGCGCCCGGGCGCGCTCTCCGCCTTCCCCGCCCGGCTCGCCTGCTCGCTGGCTCCCTCCCTCTCTCCCTCCCCCTTCCTCCTTGGCCCTGCCTCCTCCCTCGATCCCCGGCTGGATGACTGAGGCATTTCAGACGTGGGCTGAACCAGAGCGAGCGAGCGAGCTCAGGGGCTGCAGCGATCTCTCGATAAGCCACCTAGAGGCGACTCTGTGCGCGCGCGCTCCCCAGTGGCTCCCGCCCGCCCTCTGATCATGTTGACATATTCACAGGACAGGCAGTAGTACCGATGCGGCGCTGCGACGTTACAGTTTCCGACACCTTCTTTTTATAACTCAGCTCTATCCCCCAGCACTCGACCTGTGAAAACCACGCCTATGCAGCAACACAATTGGTCCGAAAGCGTCAAAGAGCCAATCAAGAGGCCTCCGGCTCCCCGCAGCCCACAGCGCAGCCCGACCTTCTAGAGCCGCCGAGCAGACGCCCGGTGAATTCTAGAGGCGGCGGAGGGTGGCGAGGAGCTCTCGCTTTCTCTCGCTCCCTCCCTCTCCGACTCCGTCTCTCTCTCTCTCTCTCTCTCTCCCCTCCCTCTCTTTCCCTCTGTTCCATTTTTTCCCCCTCTAAATCCTCCCTGCCCTGCGCGCCTGGACACAGATTTAGGAAGCGAATTCGCTCACGTTTTAGGACAAGGAAGAGAGAGAGGCACGGGAGAAGAGCCCAGCAAGATTTGGATTGAAACCGAGACACCCTCCGGAGGCTCGGAGCAGAGGAAGGAGGAGGAGGGCGGCGAACGGAAGCCAGTTTGCAATTCAAGTTTTGATAGCGCTGGTAGAAGGGGGTTTAAATCAGATTTTTTTTTTTTTAAAGGAGAGAGACTTTTTCCGCTCTCTCGCTCCCTGTTAAAGCCGGGTCTAGCACAGCTGCAGACGCCACCAGCGAGAAAGAGGGAGAGGAAGACAGATAGGGGGCGGGGGAAGAAGAAAAAGAAAGGTAAAAAGTCTTCTAGGAGAACCTTTCACATTTGCAACAAAAGACCTAGGGGCTGGAGAGAGATTCCTGGGACGCAGGGCTGGAGTGTCTATTTCGAGCTCAGCGGCAGGGCTCGGGCGCGAGTCGAGACCCTGCTCGCTCCTCTCGCTTCTGAAACCGACGTTCAGGAGCGGCTTTTTAAAAACGCAAGGCACAAGGACGGTCACCCGCGCGACTATGTTTGCTGATTTTTCGCCTTGCCCTCTTTAAAAGCGGCCTCCCATTCTCCAAAAGACACTTCCCCTCCTCCCTTTGAAGTGCATTAGTTGTGATTTCTGCCTCCTTTTCTTTTTTCTTTCTTTTTTGTTTTGCTTTTTCCCCCCTTTTGAATTATGTGCTGCTGTTAAACAACAACAAAAAAACAACAAAACACAGCAGCTGCGGACTTGTCCCCGGCTGGAGCCCAGCGCCCCGCCTGGAGTGGATGAGCCTCTCCATGAGAGATCCGGTCATTCCTGGGACAAGCATGGCCTACCATCCGTTCCTACCTCACCGGGCGCCGGACTTCGCCATGAGCGCGGTGCTGGGTCACCAGCCGCCGTTCTTCCCCGCGCTGACGCTGCCTCCCAACGGCGCGGCGGCGCTCTCGCTGCCGGGCGCCCTGGCCAAGCCGATCATGGATCAATTGGTGGGGGCGGCCGAGACCGGCATCCCGTTCTCCTCCCTGGGGCCCCAGGCGCATCTGAGGCCTTTGAAGACCATGGAGCCCGAAGAAGAGGTGGAGGACGACCCCAAGGTGCACCTGGAGGCTAAAGAACTTTGGGATCAGTTTCACAAGCGGGGCACCGAGATGGTCATTACCAAGTCGGGAAGGTAAGCAGTGGGGGCCTCCTCCCCTAAGCTGTTGGAGAGTTTTTTCCTCCCTTTATTTCTCTGCTCCCAGAACAGTCGGTTGGTCGGTTATTACGGCTTGGACGAAAAGTTAGTTCCCCTAGAAATGTATGCACAGACTTCCAGGCCCTGCCCCGGTGGCAGGAAATTTCAGCTTACCTGGGCATCTGCATGGGTCTTGCATTTGGTCTGCATCCTGGGTTCCCTCCCGAACAGACAGAATTTTTCAGTGGAGCACAGACATCCCTGCAGGGAGCAGGAAAGAAAAAAAAAAAAGGCACTCTACTGCAAGAAACTCACTCTTCAAACCCTCCTGGAACATCCTTATTTCTTTGTTGATGTTGTGTTGTCTGTTTTATTTTGTTCTCAGAGAGAAAAACTTAAAGCCCTTTCCTTTTGTGTGGGTATTGGGAGGCCTGACACCATTCCCCGGCCCTTTCTGCCCTCCAGTCTAGCCTCTGGGTCTAAAGGGGCCTGCTGCTGCCCTGGTCAGAGAGAAATCGAAGGGCATTTTGGTTTGTTTGCCCACACTACTTCACGTGTCTGTAACCCAAGGGCGAGTTCAGCAGGCAATTTTGCATAATTTAAGATTATGTTTGCAGACTTAAGGAGCCAGTGAGGAGACACACACCTTTTTTTTAATGTGTGAATATTATCAACCATATTTTACATAATGTTTAAAGGTCCTTGCCTGACCAAAACCTGCCTGGAAGAGAAGATCCTGTAATAGTCATTTAAAATCACTGATTTTTTTTTTGTAATAGCATTGAAGCCTGTAAAGGCATAAAGTTGATACAAAAATAAAATCCCCTTCATGATATCTTAAGCGTTCTGTCTCCTTCCAAGCTAAATGAGGCCAAAGTTTGGCATAAAATCCTCCTCAAACTCACAAGACATTTAGTCAGTTTTCCAGCAAAGTGCTTCCTTGCTTCCTTTTAAGTCAAGACTACAGAATGCCAACCCTTCTGTGAAATTAACAGCAATGTGGTGGCACAGTCTTGCGGTTTTGGACTGGCCTAAGAAGTGGGGGAATGTGTTAGCAGCTCCACGGGCAGATCGGTTATCAGGCCCAGGAGTGCACCGAAGTCTGCAAAATTCGTTCTGGGAACTCACTGAAGTCCAGTTTCACTTCGCCCACAGCGGGATTGCTATTCTGCAGCAGGGAGGGGTGCAACTTGACGTTCATTTCCTTGATAAGTTTAACATTTTCTCATCAATGGGTGGTGGAAAATTCTAGTCTTAACTGACCGCGCTTTACAAAAATCTTACCCCAACCTGTTTAGATCTAGATACCCACAGAAAAAGACATGGGCAAGAATTTGCTCTCAGGAGGGCAATCTGTAAAGTCAAGCAAGGACAAAAAAAATATTGAAGAAATTGTTAGACAATGTAGAGAATTGCAGTGCCACAATGCATTTGTTTTGAACCTTGGGACGTCTAAATATGGCGAAACTGAGAATATTTAATACGTTAGTTGTGGAAGAAAACGATTTTGCAACCAGTTGCCTCACTCTGAAACATGTAAGCTTATCAGTCACAATATAAAGTCTTAGACTTGGTTTCAATATTATGTGATACATAGGAAATCAAACCCAAGATTACGGGTGGTTTATCTTTCTTTTTCTTTTCTATTCTTTCGTTTTATAGGCGAATGTTTCCTCCATTTAAAGTGAGATGTTCTGGGCTGGATAAAAAAGCCAAATACATTTTATTGATGGACATTATAGCTGCTGATGACTGTCGTTATAAATTTCACAATTCTCGGTGGATGGTGGCTGGTAAGGCCGACCCCGAAATGCCAAAGAGGATGTACATTCACCCGGACAGCCCCGCTACTGGGGAACAGTGGATGTCCAAAGTCGTCACTTTCCACAAACTGAAACTCACCAACAACATTTCAGACAAACATGGATTTGTAAGTTTCATTGCTCTCTTCAGTAAAATTTTCTCCTCCTTCACTCAGTCAAAGGCAGTGCTTCCCATTTCATGAGTTTCAGCCCAGACTTCTCCTTTGCTTCTCCCTAAGCATAGCAAACTTGTCCTCGTCTGGAAAAAGGATTCGGGGTGTTTCTCTCCAAATAATGGAAGGCCTGGCGTTCTAAAAGAAATGGGGCAAGAAAACTTACCGGCTTGTGTTCTATAGCAATTCCAGCTCTTTGGTAGATTCCTGACCTGAGAGTGAAGTTAAAAACCATTTTTTAAGAGCTAAAATCAATTTCAAGGCTATGTATTCCTAAAGGATTTGTTTTGTTTTAAAATATCATACTTCTGTTTTGAAACCAGTGATATTATTTTCTCAGGAGAGTTTACGTTTCGGAGCCTTGACTCTGTTGGTTAAATGGTGTGAATACATTTTTAAAAACTCGTTCTTTTACTAAAAAAAGAATTGGGCTTAGGTGGGAGTCCGGCTTACCCTAAATGAGGCTTAGATCTTCAGAAAAAAATGGTTTGTGTGTTGGGAGTGTATATATGGATTCAGTGACAGTGCTTAGAAACTTAGAAAACTTTCATTGCTTGTAGATATCAGGCAAAGGACCTTTTGCGCCTTTTCCTACCCCTCCCCAACATTTCAATAAAATAAACAGCGTGATAAGCAAGGAGTAAGCAGAAAGATTAGGCCCAGGAAGACGCGAATGGCGCGGAAATATCTTCAGCGGGCAGGAATTGCATTTGAAGCCCTTGATTTGATTAAGGCATAAATATTCCTCTCTAGAGTTCAGCCTTTCAGGGCTTTAAGTGGATTGGGCTCGTCAATTAGTGGGCGCTTAAAGTACTGAATCATTTTGTAAATTAAAATGCATGTTTTTCTCTATCTTTTAAGACTTTGGCCTTCCCAAGTGATCACGCTACGTGGCAGGGGAATTATAGTTTTGGTACTCAGGTAGGCTAGGGTTCAAGGTATGAATGATCCTTAGATGGTGAGGGTGGGGGGGGCCCTTTGGCAACTGAGGAGCAATTTGGATTCTCCAGAAGATAACATCTGTGGAGCGAAACGTACCCAGGGGGTACTCCAAGGAGGTGGGCTCGGTACAAGCGTGGTACCCTGCGGTGGGGAAGATTTCAGCCTGGCAGGGGTCCTAAGATCCCGTTTGTTCTGCTAAATCCTTGTTTTATGTATGTCTCCTCTTCCCTGCCCCTGCAGACTATATTGAACTCCATGCACAAATACCAGCCCCGGTTCCACATTGTAAGAGCCAATGACATCTTGAAACTCCCTTATAGTACATTTCGGACATACTTGTTCCCCGAAACTGAATTCATCGCTGTGACTGCATACCAGAATGATAAGGTAAACTCAAGGGGCTTTCCTTTTTAATGGTGATATTTTGCCTTCCCCTTAAAAGCTGCTTTAAGTCAGGATGAGAAAGTTACAAGAGAGTGGAGACGAGAGTCTTGAGTTGTCTTTTGTGATTTGTGGAGCATTTGGGGGGAAAGGACAATGACACCTCGAGGAGACAGAAAAACACCTTGACTAGGTAGGAACAATGCTGAGCAAAAAAACGCCATACTAATTTTGCCACAGAGAAACTCCTAGAACTGCTGTCATTGATGCCACCCACTCCTCCCCCCCTCTTGGGCTTTGTCCTGTCTGTTTTAAGGTTCATCTTCTTCCCCTTGGGGAAGAAGGATCAAGAAGTCACATTCAAAAGGAACCAGCTAAAAATTTAAGGCAAAAGCCATTTGGGATCCTGGGAGGAGAATCCTAGTAGAGACCAGCTTTTCTCCCCTAGCCAGAAATCCTGAGTAGCTGGTCTGGTTTTTATTACCTTTTATGCTGCTGTGTTATGATGTGTGTGTGTGTGTGCATGTGTGTGCATGCATGCGTGTGGTTGGAAAAACCTACCCTGATCACAGGGTCATATTAATCGAGTTGTCTGAGGCTTTTGAGTTGGGGTGGCCAAAGTCACCACTTCATTTGAATTCCCCCCCTCCCCCAGGCCTGAATCTGGAGGTTAGAAGGATCCCCAAAAGGGAAAGCACCTGATATCTAGAGCTATGGTGGCCTGAAGGTCATGGGCACAGAAAAAGTGACCCTTACTGCTGATTCACCAGTTCCCAGATTGGCTGTTAGCAGTTATGGGGTGGGAGGAGGGACTGAAGACCCCTGCTCTGCAATCCTGGACTTCAAAGAGAGTCCATTTTACCTGACAACACACTTCATTTTGAACTCACTGTCATTGTCACTGTCCTTGGGTCCTCTGTGGACTTCATGATGGGGATGTTCCAGCTAAATTTCTTTAGTGTGAATACCAAAACATGATCTTCTCTCCCTGTGAAACCTGAAGTCTTCAATAGAGCAATTTATTCCAAGAACATGAATCCAACCAAGGGTCCCCCTTTCCACCTCTGAGTAACTCTGTGTATATAACTTCTTCTTCCCACCAAGGGGAAGGGATTTGAAAGATTACACACTATAGCATTTTTCTCAAAGTGCAAAATGCATGTGCCCTCTAGACCCAGAATCCTGTGAAATGAAGTTGTTAATGTAATAATAAAATGTAGCATTTTTGATCAGACAAAAAGGCCATGGGCCTTCTCCACCTAATGGCCATGGCAGAGCATATAAATGAAAACAGATGTTTCCAGTGGTCATTCAGTACTGTAACTGTCAATATTGTAATTTCCTCAAACCACCCCCCAGGCAAAGAAAAAAAAAATTAAACTCACTCCCGCACTCACTCCCGCACAAGGGTAGTGAAACCCCATAAATCATTTATTGGATTCATGGAAAAGGAGTGTGTGTGTGTGTGTGTGTGTGTGTGTGTGTGTGTGAAGGGAGTATGCTATAATTTATGATTAATTGCACTGTATAAAAATCAAAATGAAAGCATAATTTTAAGATCTACAGGTTTTCCCTCTTGATGACTTTGACAACACTTCCATGTCTAAACCCAAACTGTTGGCTGCCCAAAGAAAAGAATTTCTTTGAATAATTTCATCCCCAAATCCCTGGTTTGGCCTCATATAGGAGATACAAGCCCTGCCACAGTTTCCTTATTATCTCCTTTCCCTGGCATATCTATATGACTTCTGTTGGCAGTCACATCTCTAGACTTGTTGAGTTGGGAAAAACACCCTCAAAACATTCTAGAAAATGAGAACAATGTCTCTGTCTTGCTTGTGTCTCTTCCAATAGATAACCCAGTTAAAAATAGACAACAACCCTTTTGCAAAAGGTTTCCGGGACACTGGAAATGGCCGAAGAGAAAAAAGGTGAGTTGAAACAATTATTTATTAGATAGTTTAGAAAAATCCCTTTTTTTAGGATCCAACTCTGAAGTGTTAGAAGTGAGATGCAGGCACTTATCCTAAGAGCGGGTGGAAATCATTCACTTTCCCCACTGCTACATGCTTGCCGCTATCAGTATACCCAGGACAAGTACTTTTCCTACCTCCTTACCTTTAAGGAAATTAACTAGGCTACACCATACTTATCTCTGGAAGAGAAGCATCAGGGATAATAGATTATACAGGGATGCCTATTAATTCCTAATTAATTTAAGTTCATCCTAGGCAGGTCCCAGAAAGAACCATGCCATTGAGAAAATACTTGGGAATTTTTGCAATCCTGTCTTCCAAATACCATCAGACAGAGCTGGGGACTTCGGAAAGATGTATGGCTCTCTCCCTCCTTCGTGGGGACATGTATCATTTTGCATTACGTAGACAGCTGGAGAGTATATGAAAGAGGGTCTCCCCTCCCCCACCCCCTTTCAAAGAATTTCTAAAATCCAGAAAATCACCCCCAAATTTTTAACCTATCCCCTTGGGGCGGGCATTAAAAAATAATTGCTAACAGCTAAATATATTTTTATTCCAATTAATTTGTTAGTAAAACGATTACAGTAAAGTGCAGCATGAAATAACCACTTCCTCCCAATCTTAGCCACCATCCAAAATTTGGGTATGCTGGGGACAGACAGCGTTGTGTTTGCAGGATTGGACACCCGGTTCTCCCTATATAAGGCTGGCAGTCCAGCTGTCTCTGACTAGATCCAGCCTCTTCTCCTGCTTTTAAATAAAATTTCACAGCCCAAGCAAATGCCTTTTCCTAATGAAACCCCATCTTGAATAAATGCAACTGAAGCCTCCTTCCTTTCTCCCTAACCCTCTGCCACACTCTTCAGCCCAGTTAGAGGGTCAAGGACAAAGCTTGGGTCTATGTGGCTGCCCTGGGGCAAGCAGATTTCAGTGAATTAGCGTTGTCCCTGGGCAGCAGGCAGGGTGTGAGGTATGTGTGTGCCGCTTTGGAAAGGGTAAGGGAAACAAAGAGGGGAAATGTATGTTACATTCTGTAACCTGGGTGTGGGCTTCTGCCACAGAAAACAGCTCACCCTGCAGTCCATGAGGGTGTTTGATGAAAGACACAAAAAGGAGAATGGGACCTCTGATGAGTCCTCCAGTGAACAAGCAGCTTTCAACTGCTTCGCCCAGGCTTCTTCTCCAGCCGCCTCCACTGTAGGGACATCGAACCTCAAAGGTAAACCATGTCACCTTTGTGATCACTGGACTCCAGTCCCTCGTGGCCTGGAAGAGTTGAAGGGGGATGGGGCACCAACCAGGGCACTTGCCCTTTAAAAGCTAGAAGCCTTCTAAACATCCTTAAACAGAAGCCAGAGTTCAAAAAGGGCTATCAGGTGTGTCTCCCCTTCCCCGCTAAGGCAGTAGAAGGAGAGCACAGAGGCCTTTCTCCCAGATCCTTATTTGGCTGGTGGGGAGGGGAGGTGGGTGTCTGTTTGCATACTACCTCTTGGCAAGCAGCTTTGAAAACTTGCTTGAAGCGCTTCTCTCTTTTCTCTCTGTCTCTGTTTCTTTCTCCTCCCATTCTCTCCAACCAACAGAGGCTCCAACTGCTGACTTTTCACTGTCTTTGAACTCTAGGTTACAATGTGTTGGACTGGGTGGGGGGGAAGCAAGGGACTCTGCCACCTGGAACCGAGAAGGTGGCCTAGAAAACATCCAGCTATAAAGCAACAATTGACCTGGGAGAGGAGGTGGAGCACTGGGGATCTGCGGTGGGGGTAGAGCTGGGGGAGGTGGGTGAGGAGTGGACAAGATGGCTCAAATCCCCCCTCAGTTACCTGTGTTTAAAGAGCAAGCAGTATTTATTTGGAAAGACACACACACACACACACACACACACACACACACACACACACTCTCAACGGGAAGAAACCTGTTTTTTAGTGAAATAAAATGCAAGTCCTTTATGTCTTCAATCCATTTAAGCTTTAAACATAAAATAGGATCCCTTTTTCTTTTCTTCTGGTGGAACACCCACAGAGGGTGTGGTAAAAGCGAAAAAAGAATCTATGATCGTCCCCGGGCTGTGAGCCATCTGTCCGACACTCATCTCTCTCTGCAGGGACTGGGGCAAATACAAACGGTTCAACTGAGTACTGGTGTTGAAGGACAGGTGTCCGTTCTGCCATTATCAATTCAGATGTCAGGGTTCTTGCCAAACAAATCCTTCCAGAGTAATTCACAAATTTGTGGAAGGTGCTGCTCTCTGTCATTCACTGATTTTTTGATAGTAATTAGAATATGTTCCAGCTGTGAGTTTTAATGTTACTTTTTACTTTTAAAAAGTTAATTTGCAATCGAATGGGGAGATGCATGTGAAATCTGCCACTGTAGGAACTCAAAAAAAGAAGTAAAATTCATTAAAATAAGAAGAGCTACTGATTAGGGGATTGTCCATCTAAGGGAAAGTTTAAACTCTGGGTAAATACTTTAAATTCATAATCGCTTATTGAATTTTCCAGCAATGTTGTTGGGCACGATTATCCCCATTTTGCAGATGACAACACTGAGGTGCAGAGAGGCTAAGGGGCTTTCCCCGGGATTACACAGCCACTAAGCCACGAGCTGGGATTCCAACTTGGGAACTGGAGTTCCGTTGGCTCATACTGGAGATAACGCCCTTCTGCCTTGGTTTTTTCCTTCGCCTGTGGTAGATTTATGTCCCAGCGAGGGTGAGAGCGACGCCGAGGCCGAGAGCAAAGAGGAGCATGGCCCCGAGGCCTGCGACGCGGCCAAGATCTCCACCACCACGTCGGAGGAGCCCTGCCGTGACAAGGGCAGCCCCGCGGTCAAGGCTCACCTTTTCGCTGCTGAGCGGCCCCGGGACAGCGGGCGGCTGGACAAAGCGTCGCCCGACTCACGCCATAGCCCCGCCACCATCTCGTCCAGCACTCGCGGCCTGGGCGCGGAGGAGCGCAGGAGCCCGGTTCGCGAGGGCACAGCGCCGGCCAAGGTGGAAGAGGCGCGCGCGCTCCCGGGCAAGGAGGCCTTCGCGCCGCTCACGGTGCAGACGGACGCGGCCGCCGCGCACCTGGCCCAGGGCCCCCTGCCTGGCCTCGGCTTCGCCCCGGGCCTGGCGGGCCAACAGTTCTTCAACGGGCACCCGCTCTTCCTGCACCCCAGCCAGTTTGCCATGGGGGGCGCCTTCTCCAGCATGGCGGCCGCTGGCATGGGTCCCCTCCTGGCCACGGTTTCTGGGGCCTCCACCGGTGTCTCGGGCCTGGATTCCACGGCCATGGCCTCTGCCGCTGCGGCGCAGGGACTGTCCGGGGCGTCCGCGGCCACCCTGCCCTTCCACCTCCAGCAGCACGTCCTGGCCTCTCAGGTATGGATCCTTCTTCCTGCCTCCACCAGTCTTTCCACCTTTCGTCCAGTTTCCCTGTCCTTTGCCAGCAGACCCTCACCCGATCCCTTTGGCCTAGTAGCTGTAATAATTTTTACTGAGCCATTACCGGGTTCAAGGCTTAGCTCATGGAGTTATTATGACTTCATTCTCCCCATTCACCCCAAAAATCTTTAAAATTTTTCCGAAGTTAAAGGCTGTTTCCAGCAGAGTAGATAGGTAGTAACAAAGATAACAGCTGGACACAGCACTTACTTTCAGGCATTCTTCTAAGTGCTTGCTCTGTATTGACTCATTTGACCTAACCCTTCAGGGGTACTATTATCACCTCCACTTTACAGATGAAGGCGAAGACGCCCAGAGATGTTGAGTGACTTGTCCAAGGTCACACAGCGGGTACATGGTGGAGCTGAGACTCAACCCCAGGCTATCTGACTCCAGGGCCTCTTTGAGGGTTTCTGATTTTAGCTTCAGAGCTGACATGTCTCTTAAGTGTCTCATAGCCAACCCTTCCCCAGGAATGGGACTCTAGGCCTGGGGAGGGGAAGTGACTACTTCCTGAGTAGGAGTTCAGTCTTGATTCCTCCAGCCTTTCCTCCCAGTTCGAAGCTCTTCTCCCCACCCCCAACCCCAAGCAGGCCAGCCTATTCCTCGAAGGGTTAATGGTTTGTGCACACGTGGGAAATGTCAGAGGACAGGGATAAGCAGGGACTGGGGCAGGCCTGGAGGCCTGTGTGTGGCTCAGACAGCTGTGCTGGGGGGAGGTCTCAGGCGGCTGGAAACACCCTGAACTCGATGAAAAGGTTCTATGAGGTTTTGCATGCTGTTGCCTTTTGTTTTGTCTGAGCACATTCGTCTGGTCTCCCTTCCCTGCGCCAAGAAACCAGATTGGCCTCCCCACTCCAGGGAGGAGGGAGCTGAGGAAAGGCTTGGCTTCTGGCATTTCTCAATTCCTCCCATCTCCTCTGCTGGCTTCTCCGGGAGACCCTGTCCTAGGTGGGCAGGTGGTTGGTACACCAAGGACTACCTGAACAGACAAAACCTTAAGGGCACCTCAAGGCATGATGCAGAGAACTGGCCCAGGCCAGGGTGCCTGCATCTTAAATGCTGCTTCTGCCAATTCCCAGCTTAGTGCACTCCTGAACTCCTGCGGCCTACCTCGGCTTCTCACCTGGAACACCAGTGAATCATGCTGGACGATTTCTTTGTCTCTGTTTATAACAAATGCCCTTTTTCCCTCCCCCAGCCCCAGTTTCCTTTTGCTTAAGATCTTCACTGTCTGTTTTTTTTGTTTTGTTTTGTTTTGTTTGGAGAAACTTCTAGGATTGGGGTGGGAGGATGGGGGTTGGGGAAGAAGAAAGATTTAAAAAATTATTCCTACTAATTTATGTCCTCCGGCTTCCCCTTGGTTACCTCTGTGGGGTAAACTGAATCTGTATCCCCATTTAACAGGTGCAAGGAGATTTCCTGGGGGCTGCACACACTGTGTGCAGCATATTGCAGGCTTTCACTCATTTAATATCTACAAAGTCCTCAATAAGTATATGAATTACTTATGATTTCCCTGTTTTTTCTTCCTATAAGGAAGCTGAGGCACAAGTTAATCAAAGTCTCTTGGCCTAGGGTGACACAGCTAAGATTTGTACCTAGAGATTTCTGAGTGTTGACTTCTCTCCTGCCCCCACCTATCTCCCCCCCCAAAAAAAAAAACACAACAACAACAACAACAGAACATACCAGGGATTCATGGCTTGCCCAATGTTGGAGGGGGAGAAGAGAGGAGAGGGATGAGATAAGCTCCTCCCACCCGGCTGACTCGCTGTGTGTCTCTTTTCTCACCCCAGGGCCTGGCCATGTCCCCTTTCGGAAGCCTGTTCCCTTACCCCTACACGTACATGGCCGCAGCGGCGGCCGCCTCCTCTGCGGCAGCCTCCAGCTCGGTGCACCGCCACCCCTTCCTCAATCTGAACACCATGCGCCCGCGGCTGCGCTACAGCCCCTACTCCATCCCGGTGCCGGTCCCGGACGGCAGCAGTCTGCTCACCACCGCCCTGCCCTCCATGGCGGCGGCCGCGGGGCCCCTGGACGGCAAAGTCGCCGCCCTGGCCGCCAGCCCGGCCTCGGTGGCAGTGGACTCGGGCTCTGAACTCAACAGCCGCTCCTCCACGCTCTCCTCCAGCTCCATGTCCTTGTCGCCCAAACTCTGCGCGGAGAAAGAGGCGGCCACCAGCGAACTGCAGAGCATCCAGCGGTTGGTTAGCGGCTTGGAAGCCAAGCCGGACAGGTCCCGCAGCGCGTCCCCGTAGACCCGTCCCAGACACGTCTTTTCATTCCAGTCCAGTTCAGGCTGCCGTGCACTTTGTCGGATATAAAATAAACCACGGGCCCGCCATGGCGTTAGCCCTTCCTTTTGCAGTTGCGTCTGGGAAGGGGCCCCGGACTCCCTCGAGAGAATGTGCTAGAGACAGCCCCTGTCTTCTTGGCGTGGTTTATATGTCCGGGATCTGGATCAGATTCTGGGGGCTCAGAAACGTCGGTTGCATTGAGCTACTGGGGGTAGGAGTTCCAACATTTATGTCCAGAGCAACTTCCAGCAAGGCTGGTCTGGGTCTCTGCCCACCAGGCGGGGAGGTGTTCAAAGACATCTCCCTCAGTGCGGATTTATATATATATTTTTCCTTCACTGTGTCAAGTGGAAACAAAAACAAAATCTTTCAAAAAAAAAATCGGGACAAGTGAACACATTAACATGATTCTGTTTGTGCAGATTAAAAACTTTATAGGGACTTGCATTATCGGTTCTCAATAAATTACTGAGCAGCTTTGTTTGGGGAGGGAAGTCCCTACCATCCTTGTTTAGTCTATATTAAGAAAATCTGTGTCTTTTTAATATTCTTGTGATGTTTTCAGAGCCGCTGTAGGTCTCTTCTTGCATGTCCACAGTAATGTATTTGTGGTTTTTATTTTGAACGCTTGCTTTTAGAGAGAAAACAATATAGCCCCCTACCCTTTTCCCAATCCTTTGCCCTCAAATCAGTGACCCAAGGGAGGGGGGGATTTAAAGGGAAGGAGTGGGCAAAACACATAAAATGAATTTATTATATCTAAGCTCTGTAGCAGGATTCATGTCGTTCTTTGACAGTTCTTTCTCTTTCCTGTATATGCAATAACAAGGTTTTAAAAAAATAATAAAGAAGTGAGACTATTAGACAAAGTATTTATGTAATTATTTGATAACTCTTGTAAATAGGTGGAATATGAATGCTTGGAAAATTAAACTTTAATTTATTGACATTGTACATAGCTCTGTGTAAATAGAATTGCAACTGTCAGGTTTTGTGTTCTTGTTTTCCTTTAGTTGGGTTTATTTCCAGGTCACAGAATTGCTGTTAACACTAGAAAACACACTTCCTGCACCAACACCAATACCCTTTCAAAAGAGTTGTCTGCAACATTTTTGTTTTCTTTTTTAATGTCCAAAAGTGGGGGAAAGTGCTATTTCCTATTTTCACCAAAATTGGGGAAGGAGTGCCACTTTCCAGCTCCACTTCAAATTCCTTAAAATATAACTGAGATTGCTGTGGGGAGGGAGGAGGGCAGAGGCTGCGGTTTGACTTTTTAATTTTTCTTTTGTTATTTGTATTTGCTAGTCTCTGATTTCCTCAAAACGAAGTGGAATTTACTACTGTTGTCAGTATCGGTGTTTTGAATTGGTGCCTGCCTATAGAGATATATTCACAGTTCAAAAGTCAGGTGCTGAGAGATGGTTTAAAGACAAATTCATGAAGGTATATTTTGTGTTATAGTTGTTGATGAGTTCTTTGGTTTTCTGTATTTTTCCCCCTCTCTTTAAAACATCACTGAAATTTCAATAAATTTTTATTGAAATGTCTTTGGGCCTTGTGTTAAATGTTTTTTCTTTGGGAACCTTTCCTGAAGATGGACAGTCAGGGGAGGGTTTAGTATCTTCTTGTTCTGAGTTTACCCCCTTCCCTTCGCCTTTAAATAATTAAGACCGCCCCCAGCGAACCAAAATGAGATGTCACTCAAGTTACAAAGCTAAAAACAAAAGTCCCTTACTTGAGCGAAGGGAGCCACTTCAATCTGAAATTACTTTTCCTTTAAATTAGGGAGCAAAGCAGGGAGACGGAAAGGGGCCTGATGAGAATACAGAAAGAAGGGTAATTTCAGATACTTTTAAGTTTTAATGGAAAAAGACTGATGTGCTCCCTAAGTCAGGTTTTCCCACCCGAATCCGACCAAAAGTAAGCTCGGCAAGTACGAATGTTTTTCGTTTTAAGCTCGCCCTCAGTTTTGACATCAATCTGGCGAATCCAAGTCGAAAATACCTTCTTGCACCAGTGTGTTTGGCTCGGGGAAAAGGCCAGCAGAATGCCCCAGCAGTCCGAGCGGGCTTGGCTAGGCAGCAACCCTCCAGGTTGTAGAAGTGGACAAGACGCAACGCCTTTCCACTCGGCAACCCCCCACACAGCCTGCAGTCCCTGGTGCCTCAAATTGAACCCGGCTGGCCCAAGGCGCCCCTACGAGGCCCCATCCATCCCGAGTTGTGCGTGCAAAGCGCGGCCAGCTCCGCGAAAACTTAGCTGTGTCACGCGAGGGAGGAGGGAAATTATCCCCGAAAGGGGAAAGGTAATTCCAGGGTGCACATTTCACCCCCTCCACGGCAAAAGTCACCCAGGAGGCTGACATCCTCCCCTAGTCTCCCCTTCAAACCCGTCTCCAGGCTGTTCGGGGAGTTGCCTTTTGAAGTTCAATTTATCTTTGAAACATTCAATAAAAAATGATGAGGCACTGTCAGTCTTTTGGTCTCCCGACCCCCAGCCTCGCCTCCGAGGTGTGTGTCTGTTGGGGGGCGGGGGCGGCACGGGAAGGTTCGAGGGTTAGTCCTTAGCCCTTTTCTTGCCCTGGGGGCCATGACGTGAAGACCCAGCTGGAGCCTGCCTGGCGGCTGCCTCCCTCCCCACCCCCCACCCGCCACCCCCTGGAGCCCGCCAGCCCGGCCCCAAGTCCCTGTCACCTTCAGGCCTCTTGAATGACCGGAGAGGAGGACGCCCCCTCCCTTCCCTCATCCTGTACTTGGAAGGGATCGAGGTCGAGACCTTTTGGAGAGCGGGGCAAAGCCCCTTCCATCTCTGGCCAGGCACGTGGGGACCCCTACAGCCTCCTCTGCGATGTCTCCGGGGGTGGGAGGGAAGACAGACAACCAGAGTATGTTGGTGCGGAGTCGCGGGGGGGGGGAGGGGCGGGGTGCGCTGCGGGGGTGGCAGGGCCTGAGCTGAGACGGGCCCTGGGGACCTTTGAGGCTGGGGCTCCCCCGAGGACTGGGAGATTTCCAGGGCGCGCTCCTTCTGCGCAGCGGCTACAGCCTGAAGGGGGCAGCTCTGGATCCAGCGACAACGCGCGGTGTCCGCGCCTCTGAGAAGGTGGTAGTTGGCTGGTTGCGCTCTCCCGAATTGGGGAAAAAAGAACTCAGCCTCCAAAAGGGAAGAAATGCTTTGCTTTTCTCTTCTTTCTCAGTCCAAATTTGCTTACCTCCTCCCTTCTCTCCCCCCGCCCCCGATTTGGGGACCCTGCTCAGACTTGTGTCCAGCCTCTCTTACTGGCGTTCCTCTTTTTTTTTTTTTTTTTTTTTTAATCTCCTGTGTATCTCATTTGTATATTGTGATGTTAATGAGTAACTCCTGTAGCGCTGATGGGCGGGGGGTGGAGGGGATGAACGGCTCGCAGTCTCTCTGGATTTTGCTGCCTATTACTCACCTGGCGCCGGTCGCAATCTCGCCGCAGGCTTTATGGTGGCTGCGGCCGCCCCAGAGGCCACTCAGGGCAGGCGCCTTCGCCTTTTTTCTGGGCTTCGAGTGCCACCTATCTGTCTCGTCTACGAATGCGTCCAGGTCGCCGCAGCTGGCTCGGCACCCCAGCGCCTCCCGGGTTCCGGAACTTGGGCGCTTCGCCTTCGCCCCTTCTCATCCCCACCACTCCCAGCCCCACTCCCCTCCTCCTCCGTCCCCAGCCCCATTCTCAGCCTCGGAAGAAGCTGCCTTCCCCTCTTTCCTGGATATCACTTTCACTCCCGTTTGTGCCTCAGATGAGAAAAACAGCCCTGCCCTCCTCTGGGTTTCCAAAGAATGTTAGAAAATTCAGTGCGGGAACCCTGGCTCGTAATTCTCTGGACAAGTTCCTTGCTGCTTGTAGAAATCTCTAGACCCTTGTTCTGGACCCCGCCTGGCGGGGGATAACCTGAATTCGCGATGGGTCGATAGAGAAAGGATACCTCCTTCCCCAACATACACACCTCAAATTCTGCCCTGGGGACAACTTGCCAGTACCAGGATGCTCTCTTTTTTACTCCACAACTTTGGAAGTTTTTGTTTTTTAACCTGGCCGCGTCTACAAGGACAAAGGCCATGACTCGCGGGAGCAGCAGTCCCTACGAGGGTCAGCTACCGCAGCCTGCAGGGCCCAGCACCTTCGTGACTTGTAGATTTAAGGTGACAAATGCGGGTGCCGGTCAGAGGCCTCCAACCCCTGCCTGTCGGGAAGGTCGGCTCCAGTCCTGGCTGCGCCCTGGAGTCTGAGACCCGCGGAGGGGAGGGGATGGGGTCGCCTTTTGCTGTGCTTTGAGCCGCGGGTGAAGGCGTCCGGGTTCCTGCTGACCTCCCGGCGCTAATTGCAGGGGCCGAAGGGCGCGCTCGGGCAGAGGCAGGGGTCACGACCTTGCGGCTCCCTCCTCCCGAGGTCCCGGCAACCTGAAGGAGCCGGGTGTGTGCAAGAGGGCGTGTGTGTGTGCGCGCTCGCGCGATTAGGGCCTCTCTCTAGATCTGCGCTGTTCTGGGACCCACTCTTTCTTTGTGGGGACAGTTCCTGACGTGTAGGCCCTTAAAAAAATTTCCATCCAAGAAGGAAAACCCAGATTCTGACCTTTCCCCTAAGCCAGCAGACAGACAGCCGCCTTCAGGCCGCTACGAGAGGCTTGCAACGCTTCACGACAGCGCGCTTTCTGCCTCGCTGGTTTCCAATGTGACCTCACGGCAACCAGCCAAGAAAGTGGCTGTCGGGGTGCAGCTGCGAGGCCGCCAGCGGCGACCTGGGTTCTTCTGTAGGTAGCCCAGTATAGACTCCTATCTAAGGGTAGCTCTTGGGTGTCTGCATTCTGGGGCCAGGAGCTGCAGGTGTTAGAAGGATATGTGTATGTTTGCGTGTAGCTGTGCGTGCTCCATCTGTAGCTGTCTCTTCCAATTTGGGTTTAGAAGTTCATGCGCAAGACAGTTCCGGATGTAGATGCATTTGGTTGTTTTATAATCAAGATGCGTATAATCAAGAAGTATATGTTGCAGATGTCGGAGTTCAAAGTACACGAAACAAGAATAATATAAATACTTGGCATACAAGGGACACGTGCACAAGCCAGGCACTCGGTGAAGCACCCCATAAAAGTGACCCCCGTTAGCCTTCACAGTTAACCCCATAAACGATATATGATCTTTATCTCTGTTTTACAAGAGAGGAAACTGAGGCATAGACCATTAAATCACTTACCCAAGATCCTCTGGGGGAAATTATGGAGCCAGGATTCAAACCGAAGTGGGCTCCAGGATCCACTGTAATTCCCTTTCCTAATTCAGCTGAAGGTGTACGTACCTGCGGCGCATATGTCCCGGATTTACAGAAATCTGAGGGGATGTTCCGGATTTTGGAGTGTGCCGCAGGCTTTTTTTTTTTTTTTTTTTTTTTTTTTTTTTTTTAATACGAGAACGTTCAAATTTCTTTGTGCATCTGTCGTGCTATGTAAAAGGACAGCTTTTATTTCAGCATCCCCCTCCCCGGCCAACCCTCTTGTGTGTCCTGGGACACCCGTCCCAGCTAAGACCGCGGTTTTGGGGCCTTTGTTCCCCGGTAGAGGAAGAGAGAGGCTGAATGGGGGACGCAATACTCTATTTAAAAATGCCTGCGGCGGGGCACTGAAGCTGATCGCGTTCTGGTCCCGATCTGAACCGCGAGGGAAACCGCGGGGGAGAGGAAATTCCAACAGCGCTGGCGTACGCCGGGGCCCGCAGGGCGACCACCAAGCTGACGCCGGGGTTTCCCTCTCCCGCGGGGTCTGGAACCAAGACTGGGGCTTTGGGTGTCTGAGGCTTTCTCTGCTGGCCTCAGATCCTCCCCCGCGTCCCTAGCATTTGCTATGTTCTGTCTACCCAGGCGCCAAGGCCGAGCGCAGTCCGGGGACTGCAGGTGGAGACGCCGCAGGCAGAGAGATCTTCGCTCTTTCTGGGTTCAACCCTGCCCAGCTTCCAGGAACCTATGACATTTTAGTTTTTTCCGCCCTCTCACTTCCAACGTTTTGGCCCCAGCTAGAAGCCCAGGGGTTCAGCTGGTGGAAAGAAGGATTCTACAGAGAAGCCGGCGAAGGGGTGCTGAGGGTGCAGCCCCGCGAAGGAAAAGCGCTGCCTGGTTACCCGGCAGTGCGGCCCAGGTTCCCGCAGCCTGGACAACTGCAGGCCCCACGGCCCTAGAGAGCCAGAGCTTGGGTCTGGCTGCACACTGGGTAGGGGTGGAAATAACTGGCTTGAGTAGGGAATAGCGCCTGCCCCCAAAACGTAAGGCGCTTCTGTCCCGCGGCTGGGGTGAATTCTGACGGCCTTTGGGTCCCGGGTCTCCCCAAAGCAGTGAATGAGACTCAGGCGCAGCCTCTGGAATCGGGGGGCGGGGGGCGCAAAAGAGAGGAGGGTTTTGTGGGGGTGGGACCCAACCAGTTGGAATCTGTACGGCTACTGTCCGGGCGGTCCGGCTCTTCCCCTCACCATCCCCGACCCCCACCATCGCCCCCCCACCCCCCCGCCCCAATTCCAGCGCTCCCAGTCAGCCTGTCTCTTTGAGCTTTTGAAATGCGATCCCCGCGCCACTTCGGTTTCCCGCTAATGACCCGGGCTCTGGTTTCGGGTTGGGGAATTGCACCCGGAGGACAGACTCGCTTCCCCAGGCCCGCACAGCCAACTCTCGCCTAGGTCCTCTTCGCGCCCGCGCGGCGGGCCCAGGAAGGTGCACCCTTTGCCTCCCAAATGTCCCCAAAGCGTCAAGAACACCGCAGGCACAGAACCCACAGTCGGGCGCGAACTTTTTTCCTAACGCTTTTGCGCATTGTCCACCCCAGTCCCGAACGCGGGCATCGTTGACAAAACTTTTTTTTTTTTTATGCCGGGACCGGGCGCCCTTCACTCGCGCAGAAGCGCCAGCTGTCTCCGGTCGTTACCTTAGTCACCCTCAACCTCCAACCCTCCCAACCCAGGCATACAGCCGCAGTGGGAGCCTGTTAGAAGCACCAGCGCTGAATATGTATCTGCCAAATGGCGCACCCACCACCCCAACCGACACCCGGCTTCCCCCCCGCCCACCCCGCCCCCAGGGCACCCACTCCTCCAGAGCCGGCACCCTTGAGCTAATTGGGGATTAGTCCCAGGGCTAGGACTTCTAACAGGAAGAGAGGGCTCAGGACTTCCCGTGAATCTCCTGAAATCATACGCAAGTTTGTTATTGTGCAGAGGTGCACATTTCTCGACGGGATCCTACAATTTATCTCCGATTCTCAGAAGTGTGTGAGCCCAAATAAATTAAGACCCCCCCCATCACTCTCTGGGAACAATACGAAATGAGAGGATTGGGGAACATTTCAGGTGGTCCCTAACGATTCTAGTCTTGGCTAAGTAGAATTTAACTTTAGAAGATTTCTCTCTGTGTCTCTCAGGGAAGGACGCTATTTCCTTGCTTATCTTAAATAGTCTCCAGACCCCAAGGCCTCGGGCATTGTATAATTTGTTGAGTAATTAATGATATTAACTTATCAACCCAATGGTTATGAACAATCATTATCGCCCTCCAATGAATTCTGTGTTAATTTCCTGTTGCTAGGGCCACCCCCACTGGGCTATCACAGGTAATAAAAGGAAACCACTTTTCATAAAACAACATTGCTTTTTAGTAGGTGCCTCCCACCTCAAGATCAAGGGTAAAACGAGCTACAAGGGAGTCCCCTTCATGGAGAGATTATTGGGGTCCAGGTTGGGGGTTCCCTGGCCCCTGCACCCCTACACCTTCCACCTCCACATACGTCAGGATGACATGTGCTATGGACAGGTTTCACCCATGTTTGGGTCTTCAGAAAGGCTTAGTTCTTTTCATACCTGGTGGAATGGGGGCTTTTTTTTTTTTTTTTTTTTTTAATGTTTTACCCTTATTCTTGTGATTGCTTGGAGAGGGGTTTGAATTTTGGAACATCAGAGTGAATAGTTTGGAAGGGGGTAGTTTGGGGCCTGAGAATCACCTGAATCTTTTCCTTGGGGCAAAAATGAACAAGGGGGAGGCTTGGACCTCTTTCAATGCAGGTAATTCCCTTTCTCTTCATTGCTCAGCAAAGCCTAGAACAAAGTAGGCATCTACCCAAAACATGTGTGTGGGTCAAGTTTAAATGTGCCCAGGGATCCCACTAATTTGGAAGGCAGAGGTTGTAGTGGTTGCAGTGGATGTATTTTCTCTCTATCATTGTGCCCTTCTTGTGTCTCTTTCACTTTTTCTTCAGGTAAACATACCAACCACACATGAAAATTCACAGACATAAAGGAATAGTCTAGACACTGCAGAATGTTCAAGGGAAAAGATAGTTATTCCTCTTTCCTCCCCTCTGTTAAAATAGGATCACAGGGAAGTCCCTTGTCACTCTTAGGCCCTGACTAAATAAATGCCTCTGGGTGGTGCTTGGCCACTTAGGGATGGATTTCCTCCTGGCGTCAAGGAAATCAAGACTGATTTCAAACAAAATGATGTAAACCAAGGCTACCCTCTCCTCTCCACTGCCACCATCCCATCCCCAACACTTCCGTTTCAGTTCCTCGCAACAAGAAATTCCCCCTGCCCACCTCTATTCTACCCCATACTTCCCTTCAAGGCAAATCACAAAAGTATGGATGATGAGGCCAATGTTGGGGGACAGTCTGTGTCTGCCTCATCAGCAGCTGGGGACATGATACCTTTTCTCTATTTGTCAATAAAAAGGTCATTTCTGCACTGGTTTTCATTGCCATTAAAGTTCTTCTGGTGTTATTTCTTCTTCCATTTCTTGAAATAACCTTGTCTCTGAGGTGGGGCAAAGAGGTCAAAACAGAAAGAGGGGACTGCAGTCTGTGAGCACTACCTCTTGGTTCCTCCCAGAATGGGGGGAGGGGAGTAGTGAAGGTGGAGGATGGGGGAAATGCAAGCTACCTGTTTTGCAAAGATCAAGGAAGAGAGGATACATAAATGAAAGAAACGCCAAGTGTTTGCCTCTGCCTTTGCTAAGCTGCTCTTTTGCCGCCATCTGCTGGTGCCATAGGAAAGTGCATGGGGCTTTTCCAATACTTCTGGAAGGCTGAGTCACATACTCATTTACGTTATCATTCATTTATTCAGCAATTAATCATCACTGGGACATGGTCTCTGTTCTCATGGAATTGCATTCCAGTGAAGCAAACCCCATGGCCATTTCCTGGAAACTAAGAGATAGAGAGAATGGTGGCAAGGCAAATAACTAGAATTTGGAGGCAGAAAAATGGGACTGGAGTCCTGGCTTTGCCACCTACTTTTTGAGTGTCCTTTGGCCAGGTGGCTTAACTTTTCTGGGTCTTAATTCCTCATAAAATAAAAGTGGAATAATGATACCCACATCCTTACAGGCAGATGTGCTGTAAAGAGCAAGGGACAAATATCCTTGCAAAGCACCTGCTCTGTCAATAGTTCCTACTTCCTTCCCGTTTTGGAAATTCCAACAAAGACAGAGGTTTTTTTTTTTTTTTTTTTTTTTTTTTTTTTTTTTTTTTTTTTTTTTTTTAGGCAGGGTCTGGCTCTGTCACCCAGGCTGGAGTGCAGAGGCATACAATCTCAGCTCACTGCAACTTCTACCCCCTGGGCTCAAGCAATTCTCCTACCTCAGCCTCCCAAGTAGCTGGGACTATAGGCTTGTGCCACCTTGCTTGGCTATTTTTTTTTTTTTTTGTATTTCTGGTAGAGACAGGGTTTTGCCATATTGCCCAGGCTTGTCTTAAACTCCTCAGCTCAAGCAATCCACCCGCCTCAGCCTCCTAAAGTCCTGGGATTACAAGCGTGAGCCACCATGTCCAGCCTTACTTAGCATTTTTTCCCTCTTGAGCGTTCTAGAAAATTTCTTCATCTCCTATGCCAATTTCCAATTTCACCAATCTCCATCTATTTAATTCAACTGACATTTATTTATTTATTTATTTATTTATTTTCTGAGACTGAATCTTGCTCTGTCATCCAGGTTGGAGTACAGTGGCATGATCTCGTCTCACTGCAACCTCCACCTCCTGGGTACAAGTGATTCTGTCTCAGCCTCCTGAGTAACTGGGATTACAGGCATGCACCACCACACCTGGCTTATTTTTGTATTTTCAGTAGAGATGGGGGTCTCACCATGTTGGCCAGGCTGGTCTCGAACTCCTGACCTCAAGTGATCCATCTGCCTAGGCCTCCTAAAGTGCTGGGATTACAGGCATAAGCCACTGTGCCTGGCCTTGATATTAATTGAGTTGAGATTCAGTGTGTGGGTTAAAAATACTCCAAGATGAGTAAGATGAGGTTGGTCTTCCAACTAGCTGTCTTTTTTTATGAGGCCTTCTCCTGGTCCCGCACTTACTGGGAGAGGTCCAGGATGATTATGCCAATTCTAGCTGCTGCTGGCAGCCTTTCCCACCAGTGGTAATCCTGGCCTTATGGGGTTCCCCAAATCCACTCCTGACTGCCTCCCCTCAAACCCATTGGTCCACACAGGACTGACCCCATGGCCCTCATCAGCTTCCTGTTTCAGTGACTTCTGTGGCATCAAGTCAAACCTTCCCTGCCTCCTATGGCATGCCTGATCTGGCCCCCACTTCTCTCTCCAGACTCACTTTGCCCTCTATTCTTATTTTATTTTATTTTTTGAGATGGAGTCTCGTTCTCTCACCCAGGCTGGAGTGCAGTGGCATGATCTCATCTCACTGCAACCTCTGCCTCCCAGGTTCAAGCGATTCTCCTGTCTCAGCCTCCTGAGTAGCTGGGATTACAGGCATGCACTACCACGCCAAGCTACTTTTTTTTTTTTTTTTTTTTGAAATGGAGTCTGGCTCTGTCGCCTAGGCTGGAGTGCAGTGGCACGATCTCGGCTCGCTGCAGCTTCTACCTCCCAGGTTCAAGCAATTCTCCTGCCTCAACCTTCTGTGTAGCTGGGATTACAGGCATGTGGCACCACACCCGGCTAATTTTTGTATTTTTAGTAGATGGGTTTTCACCATGTTGGTTAGGCTGCTCTCGAACTCCTGGTCTCACGATCTGCCTGCTTCGGCCTCCCAAAGTGCTGGGATTATAAGTGTGAGCCACTGCGCCTGGCCGCTACTTTTTGTGTTTTTAGTAGAGATGGGTTTCGCCATATTGGCCAGGCTGATCTCAAGCTCCTGGCCTCAGGTAATCCTCCAGCCTTGGCCTCCCAAAGTACTGGGATTATAGGCGTGAACCATCACGCCCAGCCTATTTTATTTTTTGAGACAGAGTCTTGCTCTGTCGCCCAGGCTGGAGTGCAGCAGCATGATCTCTGTTCACGACAACCTCCACCTCCTGGGTTCAAGCAATTCTCAGGTCTCAGCCTCCCAAGCAGCTGGGTTTACAGGCGCCTGCCACCACAACAGGCTATTTTTTTGTATTTTTAGTAGAGATAGGGTTTCGCCATGTTGGCCAGGCTGGTCTCAAACTCCAGGTCTCAAGTGACCCACCCGCCTCAGTCTCCCAAAGTACTGGGATTACAGGCGTGAGCCATCGCGCCCGGCCTTCTTTAAAATCAAACTATGCTGCCCAAGTCACCATACTTCTTTTCTCCTACTCAACATCTTTGCACATGCTGTTCCCTCAGCCCAAGGTTTTTTAGCCTTGGCACTGGTGACATTTCAAACTGGGTGATTCTCTGTTGTGGGGGGCTGTCCTGCGCACTGTAGGATGTTTAGAAGTAGCACTGGCCTCTACCCAGCAGTTGCTAGTAGCATCCTCTTCTCTAGTTGGCGACAATAGAAAATGTCTCCAGGCATTGCCAAGTGTCCCGGGTCGGAGGAGAAGAGGCAAATCACCCCTGGTTGAGAATCACTGCTTTAGCCTGAATTCCTTCCCCACCATTTTTTTTTTTTTCATTTATTTTCTTTTGACACAGGGTCTTACTCTGTCACTCAGGCACTGGAGTGCAGTGATACCATCATGGCTCACTGCAGCCTTGACCTCCTGGGCTCAAGTGATCCTCTTACCTCAACCTCCCAAGCAGCTGAGACCACAGGCACACACCACCACGCCCGACTAATTTTTTTGTTTTTTGTAGAGACCGGGTCTCACTGTGTTGCCCAGGCTGGTCTCAAATTCCTGGGCTCAAGTAATCTGCCCACCTCAGCCTCCCAGAGTGCTGGGATTACAGGCGTGGGCCACCCAGCCTGTTCCCCACCTTCTCTTCGGGTTCATTTCAGCACGTGCATCACTTTGTCCAGAAAGTCTTTCCTAGCCTCCCACACTGCTTTAGGTCTCCCTGTTACAGGTTTTCAGGGCCTCTAACACCTCTTCTACTGAGCAGTTAATAATTATAATTAGATAACAAATTCCATAATGAGATATTTAGTATATGTACCCCCTAGGGGAGTGTAAACAACCCACCAGCAAGGACCTGATGGGTGTTATTCACTGAACTGCTATCAGGAGACCATGCAAATAATGGGCAATTAGTGAGGGCTTCTTACAAGATCAGGAGCAACTGATCAAAGCTGACCTCAAAGTCTGTTTAGCTGCATTTCCTCTACTTGAAATATTTGGGTCATTTGGGACTTTTCCACTTGTCACTCCAGCCTTTCTCTGCTGTCCTTTCAACAGCATCAACAAAATACAGACTGCAGCCCAAGCCCAGCCTGCCACCTGTTTTTAGGAGGACTGACATAAGAATGACTTTTACTTTTTAATGTTGATTTATTTGTTTGATTATCTCTTACATGGAGATGGGGTCTCGCTTTGTTGCCCAGGCTGGTCTCCAACTCCTGGCCTCAAGCGATCCTCTTGCTTCTGCCTCCCAAAGTGTTGGGATGGCAGACACGAGCCACTGCACTCAGCCATACTTTTTTAGATGGTAAAAGAAAAAAAGAACAATACTTGATGACATGAAAATTACATGATATGCAAATTTCAGTGATCATAAATAAAGATTTATTGGAACCCAGCCATGCCCATTCATTTACATATTGTCCTGTTTCAGCAGGGACCGTATGACCCTCCAAATTGGACATATTTATTATCTTCTTTTGCAGAAAAATCTTGCCGACTCCTGGTCTAAAGGAAGGGATGGCTACTACAACCATTTATCAAAATAGAAAACCGTGTTACAAACCACACAAAAAAGTCCTGGGCCAGTTTACTGTTGCAATGAGAGAGAACCAAAAAGACAAAAAGAAAAACAAAAACACGTAGACCAGGGGCCCAGTCTCTTGAAGGCTAGGCTGCCAAGGTGCTAATGAGGCTAATAATAAGAATTTAAAAGTTACTTTGAAATGAAAATGAGCTATAGCCCAGGAAGACATCCAGCATTTAGTGGGCCCTCAATAAAATAACCTGTTCATTCACAAAATGTCCCCTCCTCAGGGCAGGGTCTTAGAGAGAACACGCTGGTTGCAGGGTGTCTCATCTTAAAATGAGTCAGTCAAAGGTTAAAAATAACAGACTGTGGGAATCAAAGGAAGCTGAATGGTGGTGGGTCCTGCAGGCTCAAGGTGAAATCAGCCTTGTTTCAGATTCCACTTCCAGTGAACTAAAACCAGAATGCCTAAAGATGAAAGACAAAAGCAGAGGCTCCTCTGAATGGAGGGTTTTGTGATTTGCTTTCCTTTAGGCTGACTGGGGAGACATAAGGTCATGTTTACTCCTTTCTAATGCTTGTAGCAATTCAGTGCACACAAAGGAGACTACAATAATTTTCTTTTCTCTTTCCTTTCTTCTTCCATCCTTTCCTAGTGCAGATAACAGCTTTGGCTGGTCAGAAGTTAGTGAGTTATCTCAATTGATTGTTCACAGATCAGTTCCAGACTGAACTCCTTATTCTATTCCTTCTCCTTTTCTCACTACTGTATTTGACTAGTCTTTCTAAAAAATAAAATAATAAATTAAGAAAGAATGGGTGTGGTGGCTCCTGGCTGTAATCTCAGCACTTTGGGAAGCTGAGGCGGGTGGATTGCTAGAGCACAGGAGATCAAGACCAGTCTGGGCAACATAGCCAGAACCCATCTGTAAAAAAAACAAAATTTATTCCAGTGTGGTGGCACATGCCTGTAGTCCCAGTTACTCCGGAGACTGAGACGAGAAGATCGCTTGAGCCGGGGAGGTCGAGGCTGCAGTGAGCTGTGATGGCACCACTGCACTCCAGCCTGGGTGACAGAGCAAGACCTTGTCTCAGAAACAAATAAACACACAAAACCCAGCTTTCACTGTAGGGTTAGCTGGGGAAACTGAGGCTCAGAGACTGTAAGTTATTTGCCCCAGGTTCCCCTTCCAGTGCATGACTTCATCACAGAACACAGGGCCTCCCCCTCTGCATCGCCTTCCATCAGGATGCCCCATTGCCCTGGTCCTCTCAGCTTCTGCCTAAATGACAATCTCCGTATTAATCATCGTGAAGCCCCAGGACTTACAGAAGCCAAATCCAAGCTGAAAATGGAGGCAATTACCCAGATAATTTAGGTAAACATGGGGGTTGTGTTGTGAGTGTTTTAACATCCACATCTGAGTTATCGAGTAATTGTTTCCCCTCCTGCTCCCCATTGTGTTGTTGAAGAGGCCAATTCTCCACAGACAGCCCCTGTTTGTTTTGTCCCCGGTTGAACAAGGCCTGGTAGCTAAGGAGAAAGGGCAGGAACAAAAACCACAGGGAGAGAGAGGCAGACTGGGTGAACTCTGGAGGGCCAAGCCAATTTGTGTTTGAGGTCAATCACCTTTGTGCTGCCACAAAAACCCCATCCAGGAGGCACACTAAAAACCCCATCCAGGAGGCACACTAAAAACCCCATCCAGGAGGCACACTCGACGCCCTAGCAATTCTGCTCTGTGAAAACACTCCCAACATGTAATATCAAAGCAGCTATGGTGTGCGTGTGTGCTCATGCTCAAAAATAAAATTGAGCAAATACAGCAGGGTTTTGGAAAAGAAACTAAAAACAAGTCTTCTATAATTTCTTACAAAAAAAGAGTGAATTTCAGAGTCAGATATGTCTGTCCCCCTCCCCTCTCATGCCTCCCATTTGCTTAGGAACTGTGTGACCTTGGAAAGGGCTGAAGCTTCTTGGAGACTTCACTTCTCTCCTCTTAAAACAGGGCTGATAATAATCCCTGCTTTATGGGGTTGTTGGGAGATAAGGCAGATCCCGCACAGAGCCCCCCAGGGACTCCGACAGTAAGTTTGATGCACGCCTGCTATTATGATTATTTGTGGGGTCTGAGATCCCATCTGCTAAAGTGAACACAATCACATGCATATCCAGAAACAAGGTAACTACCCCCAGACCTCCCAGCCAGCCAGCTTCTTTCCTGGTCGGCACACCACAGTGAAACAGGAAGGCTGGTGCCCCACAGACACCCGAACAATGGGAAATCCATGCGTTAAAATTTTATAGACTGCGGCAGCCCAGTTCAAAAGAAACAGGCTTTAAAGAAAAGCAAACTGGTGTCCAATGACATCAAATAGAACCAGGAGCTCCAAAGTACATAAGCTTCTTGTCTCTGTTCTTATTTATTTATTGCTGTTGCTCACGCCAGTCAGGGCAGCAGGGGGCTGGCAGGCTTACTCATGGGCCCAGATAAGGAAGCGGAGGCGTAGAAGGGTTAAGTTCTGATGTCAGGACTCAAAGCCATTTCAAGGCCAGAGAACTCCATGTTCCATAAACACAAGGGCAACCCGGCAAGCCAAAAGGAGCACAAAAATGTTGAGTGTGAATCAAAACATATGTAGTGATGCTAAAAATCAAACAGGTGTGCTCTCACCAATCCTTGCGTGTCCATGGCAACCTTCCATTGGGAACAGCCATTCCCAACCCAATTGCACATTAAATTAACCTGGGGAGCCTTAAGGGTTCCCAGTGCCTGAGCTCCACATCAGACTGGTTGAATCAAAGTTTGGGGGATAGGCCCTCTCTGGGTTTTCTTTTCTTTTCTTTTTTTCTCTTCTCTTCTCTTTTCTTTTCTTTCTTTGCTCTTCTCTTCTTTTTTCTTTTTCTTTTTCTTTTCTTTTCTTTTTTTTTTGGGACAGGGTCTCACTGTATTGCCCAAGCTGGAGTACAGTGGTGCGATCATGGCTCACTGCAGCCTCGAACTCCTGGGCTCAAACAATCCTCCAGCCTCAGCCTTTCAGGTAACTGGGACTACAGGCATGCACCACCGTGGCTAGCTAATTTTTATTTTTTTACTTTTTACTTTTTGGTAGAGACGAGGTTTCACCATGTTGCCCAGGCTGGTGTTGAACTCCTGGGCTCAAGTTATCTGCCCACCTCAGCCTCCCAGGATGCTGAGATTACAGGTGTAAGTTCCGGTCCAGTATTTTTTTAAAGTTTCCCAAGTGATTCCAAAGAACATCCACACCATTTGGAGATGTTGGCAGTTCCTACAAGCTATTCACAATCTCATTAGTTGTTCCTAGGGGTGAAAAAAGAAAACAAATATTTTCCACTTTTTGAGTTAAAAAAGGCTTTGAAAAGAGTGAGAAAGGCCGGGTGCGGTGGCTCACACCTGTACTCTCAGCGCTTTGGGAGGCTGAGGCAGCCAGATCACTTGAGCTCAGGAGATCAAGACCAGCCTGACCAACATGGCAAAACTCCGTCTCTACAAAAAATAGCCAGGGTAGTGGCATGCACCTGTAGTCCCAGCTACTCAGGAGGCTGAGGCAGGAGGATCACCTGAGTCTGGGAGGCAGAGGTTGCAGTGAGCTGAGCTCGTGCCATGGCACTCCAGCCTGAGGGACAAAGCCAGACCCTGTAAAAAAAAAAAAAAAAAAAAAAAAAGAAAAAAAAAAGAGCGAGAAAGAAAAATTTAACTCTAAAATTTGGGTTGGTTGTTTCCTATCTGGACTCCAGCTTTAGTGGGTCCACAGTCCTCTGAAATGTTAGTTTTCTGACACTGTATAGATGTGCATTTTTCTGGGTAGATGATTCATAGTTTTCTTCAACTTGTCAAAGTACGTGGATAACTATGCCCCTCTCCTGAAAAGTTAAAAAGTCACTGCTGCAAGATTAAATCAAGTATATTCCAGGAAGGAGATTGTGGAGGGCTAGAGATAAACCTCGCTGCACTCCATCCACTGCTGTTGTACGCCACACTCTGTTGAAACTGTTCACATGGCCTTATCTTGCATGATTCTCTTGGCCTCCATCAACTCTGTGGACCATGTGTCTTGAAACTGCTTTCTTTCCTCAGCTCTCATGACTCCATGGTCCTCTAATTCTAATTATCTCCCTACATCTCTGGCCATCTTCCTACCCAATGCACAGGTAAAAGGTATCCCCTCTTCTCCCCTCCCCTCCCCTTCCATTCCCCCTTTCTTGGAACCTTGTTCTGTCACCCAGGCTGGAATGCAATGACATGATCTCTGCTCACTGCAACTTCTGCCTCTTGGGTTCAAGTAATTCTCATGCCTCGGCCTTCCCAGTAGCTGGGACTACAGGTGCACACCACCATCCCCAGTTAATTTTTGTATTTTTAGTAGAGATGGGATTTCACCATGTTGGCCAGGCAGGTCTTGAACTCCTGAACTCAAGTGATCCTCCTGCCTTGGCCTCTTGAAGTGCTGGGATTACAGGCATGAGCCACTGCACTTTACCAACATGTTCTTTCTTTTTGCCCATTCTTTAATTCATGCTTTAATTCTGGATTTACATCTTCAGTTCCTCTCTCTTCTTGGTCTCCTTATTTCATTACCTAATAATATATTGGCTTCAAAATCAGTCTCTGTCTGGACAGATCTTTCTCTTGAGTTCCAGGAACAAGAGAAAGAACTAAGTGTCTCTACCTAGACATTTCAATGATAACTCAAAGACAGTATATTCAACCTGAATCCATTATCCTTTCTCCCCCATGCCCCATCTGCAATTCCTCTATCATTGATGATTTCTATCCATCCAACCACCCATCCACCCATCCACCCATCCACCCATCCACCCATCCACCCATCCAACAATTATCTACTAAACCCCTCCTCTGTGTCAAGCATCATGCTAAGTGCTAAGAACACAGAGATGCCCCAAATAGATATTCCCTGCCCTCGTGGAGTTTACAGTCTGTAGAAGGAGAGAGTCCTTAAGCAAGAAAACACACAAATGAATGTAAATGCACATAATGTGAGAATATTTCTCAAAGGGAAGAATGGGATTCCAGGTAAAAAAAAATAACTTGAACTGATTCACCATCCCACTGGAGTCAGATATATCCATAAGAAATTCAAGAATAACCTGGACATTTTAGGGTGGTCTTGGATGGTTTTCTCAAAGAAAACATCATTAGTGCTGACACATGAATGACAAATTGGGGTTAACCAGGTGGCGAGTAGAGGGATGTTTAAGGGATAAAGCATAGGGTAGTCAGCAGACTCCCAGGAAAAACAAGGCAGTGGGCCAGGCATGGTGGCTAACACCTATAATTCCAGCACTTTGGGAGGCCAAGGCAGGCAGATCGCTTGAGGTCAGGAGTTCCAGACCAGCCTGGCCAACATGGTGAAACCCCATCTCTACTAAAAATACAAAAATTAGTCGGACATGGTGGCGCATGCCTGTAATCCCAGCTACTTGGGTGGCCGAGGCAGGAGAATCACTTGAACCTGGGAGACGGAGGTTGCAGTGAGCCGAGATCGCGCCACTGCACTCCGGCCTGGGCAACAGAGCAAGACTCCATCACACACACACACACACACACACACAAACACACACACACACACACACACACACACACACACACAAAGAAAAAGAAAAAGAAAGCAACAGGCTTCATCTACCAGAGGAAAGCAGATCCATGAAAGAATAAACCTGAGAAAACAACCGTTCCCATGGCACAAGATGGAGACGGGGAATTTGGCTGCAGTCAAGTATATGACATCACCATAGCTAGAACACGGCGGGATGAAGTTCCAGTATTTATTTAGTAAGTATTTATTGAGCATCTATCATATGCCTTGCACTGTTACCGATGGGCGCAGTGAGGATCAGACCCTACACCCATGGAACTCATTGCCTATTCAGTTTCTGCTTAAGGGAAGGAATGTTAATTGAACACTTTGGAAGTCCTTCACCTTTTTTTTTTTTTTTTGAGCCATCAGCCTGTTTAGAGATTCGTAAAACCTATGGACTCTTTCTCAGATTAATGTTTTAAGATGAATAAAATAAAATGCATAAGATTTCAAAGAAGACCTATTATATTGAAATACACTTCTCAAAAACTCCTATGCTTGGACTTAGGGGGTATCGTCAAGGTGAAGATGATGACCACAGCTGTTACATCCAGAAGCTGTAACTTTTTTTTTTTTTTGGAGAGGGTTTCACTCTGTCACCCAGGCTGGAGTACAGTGGCACAATCTCAGCTTACTGCAGCCTCGACCTCCCAGGCTCAAGTGGTCCTCACACCTCAGACTCCAAGTAGCTGGGACTACAGGCATGTTCTGCTATGCTCAGCTAATTTTTGTAGTTTTTGTAGAGACGGGGTTTCACCATGTTGCCCAGGCTGTGTGGCACTTTAAAAAAAATCATCTATCCAACTCCCTGCTCTGAGGGTGTGGTTATTGGACAACTTCAACTTCATTCATTTAACTTGCCAAACAGATTCTACCTCCCCGTTAGGGTTTTCTTTTCTTTTCTTTTCTTTTTCTTTTTTTTTTTTTTTTTGAGATGGAGTCTTGCTCTGTCCGCCCAGGTTGGAGTGCAGTGGCGCGATCTCAGCTCACTGCAAGCTCTGCCTCCCAGGTTCACGCCATTCTCCTGCCTCAGCCTCCTGAGTAGCTGGGACTGCAGGTGCCCGCCACCATGCCCGGCTAATTCTTTGGTATTTTTAGTAGAGACAGGGTTTCACCGTGTTAGCCAGGATGGTCTCAATCTCCTGACCTTGTAATCTGCCCACCTCGGCCTCCCAAAGTGTTTAGATTACAGGTGTGAGCCACTGCGCCCGGCCCCCATTAGGGTTTTCTAAAGACGACGCCTTGGTCAGGAGACTCAAGAAACTGCCTTGGCAGTTGTAGGGTTCCTTGTAGATTGATAAAGTAGATTTCTTTCTTTCCCTGTTTTTGTTTTAGAGACAAGATCTTGTTCTGTTACCCAGGCTGGAGTGCAGTGGTGCAATCATAGCTCACTGCAGCCCCAAACTCCTGGGCTGAAGAGATCCTCCAGCCTCAGCTTCTCAAGTAGCTGGGACTACAGACCACACCACTGCACCTGGCTAATTTTTAATTTTTTTTTATAGAGATAGGGGTCTCACTATGTTGCCCAGGCTGGTCTTGCTCTCGTGGCTTCAAGCAGTCCTCCTGCCTCAGCCTCCCAAAGCACTGAGATTACAAGCATAAGCCACCACCCCCAGCTGCAATATCATTCTTAATCTTCCCAATGACCCTATGAAGTAGGTGATCCTCTTTCCTCAGTGGGAAGAGAGAAAATTTGAAGAGCTAGATTGATGGTCCAAACTCACATGGTTAATAGGTGGATTAAAGTTCCAGAACCAGGCCAGACGTGGTAGCTTATGCCTGTAATCCAAGCACTTCGGGAGGCAGAGGTGGGTGGATCACTTGAGTCCAGGAGGTTGAGACTACCCTGGGTAACATAGCAAGACCCTGTCTCTACAAAAAATTCTTAAAAAATTAGCTGTGCACAGTGATGTGCGCCTGTAGTCTCAACTATTGGGGAGGCTGAGGTGGGAGGATTGCTTGAGCCCAGAAGGCAGAGATTTCAGTGACCTGTGACCACACCACTGCACTCCAGCCTAAGTGACAGAGTGAGACCCTGTCTCAAAAAAAAAAAGAAAAGAAAAGAAAAGAAACATCATAGAACCATTATTCTGCATCCCTGTATATCACCATAGAACAGAATGCTCTATTTGTTCTTCATAGAAAATGTGAAATGTAATGAGAAGTTTTGGCCAGGAAAGAGTTGTTGTGGAAGAAAACATTGTCCCTTAAAAGCCAGAATCTGGTCGGTCGCGGTGGCTCACGCCTGTAATCCCAGCACTTTGGGAGGCCAAGGTGGGTGGAGCACTTGAAGTCTGGAGTTTGAGACCAGCATGGCCAACATGGCAAAACCCCATCTCCACTAAAAACTACAAAAATTAGCCGGGCATGGTGGTGGGCACCTGTAGTCCCAGCTACTCAGGAGGCTGAAGTGGTAGAATTTCTTGAGCCTGGAGGTCGAGGTTGCAGTGAGCAGAGATCGTGCCACCACACTGCGGCCTGGGCAACAGAGTGAGACTCTGCCTAAAAACATATATATATATATATGCACACCCAGAACCTTCTACATGTTGGGCTGTAGGAGCTTCAGGTGGGTTCTTTTCTTTCCTTGGGTCCTCTGTTTTTACCCCTGTGAAATGGGCACATTGGACTAGTGAAACTCCCGAGGCTCTTGGCATCTATGTCACCATAAAATTCAAGACCATATCATGCCCCCTTCAGTTAGCCTCTTTTTCTAGAAGAGTCCTCATGCTTGGCACCAAATCCTTGAATTAGTGTTTAGTTGGCTGAAAGCCATGAGACCG
The DNA here is from genome assembly GCF_000001405.40 of Homo sapiens. NCBI lineage: Eukaryota > Metazoa > Chordata > Mammalia > Primates > Hominidae > Homo > Homo sapiens. The sequence continues at coordinate 114,650,329 of NC_000012.12, read as the reverse complement.
TTGAGAAAAAAAAGTAGAAGGCACACATTTATAGTCAGGGACCCCATAACCATCATCTGCCTTTCCTCTGGACTTCAAAACACGCCCAAGCTCCATTTCCTTTCTGTGGCAGGATTCATTTTACGAGCTCAGAAGGGACAACCCATGTCCCCCACCCCGTCAGAAATGCCAGGACCCACTTTCTTGTTGAATGGCAGGATCGGCGCCCACAGATGGGGGGCGTCCTTGGCAGGAGGTTTAATGAGTTTTCTGTCTCCAGGGTGCTGGATGATTCCGCACCCTCTTTCTCCCAGGCTTGGACCCTGCGCTCCACGGCCGGGTGGCTGGGGAGAACAATCCACTCTTTCTGGAACTGACATCAGTCCATGGGAGTGGGAAGGAAGTGCCCGAGAATGGGGGCTGGGGGGCAGATCCTGCTGACTCCAGGGAGACGACAAAAGCAGGCATTGCAATGTCAGGGCCCTCCAATAAGGGCCTTGTTGTCCTTCCCTTTTCCGAGGGTCAGAAGGGAGCCCTGGCGGGCGGAAACGGGGTAAGAATGCAGTGCCATTGTCCCTGACGGGGAGACTCAAGTGGGCCCCCTGTCAGGCCCCAGAGTAGGCTCTTGAAGACCACTTGAGACGGACCCCTGAGTCTTCAGGGATTAATTAAGGGCAAGTGGGAAGAGAGGGCTAGCACACTCCAGCTCCGGGCTCCTGAGGGGTGAGGGCTGAAGGCTTTGACAGAAAATCGAGAAGAATCCACACTGTTTACTTTTTAAAAAGGGATCAAAAACATCATCTCTGTTTTCTAAGGTGCTCCTCCACTCTGCCTTGATAATCCCAAGACACAAGCTATTGCAGCTAAGGGACAGGCTCAGAACTCATAGAAGGCTGGTATTAAGGACAAATTCAATTTTCTGTCTTTCTTTTTCTTTTTTCTGAGACAGAGTCTCTGTCACCCAGGCTGCAGTGCAGTGGCAAGATCATAGCTCACTGCAACCTCCATCTCCAAGGTTCAAGCGATTCTCCTGCCTCAGCCTCCCAAGTAGCTGGGATTACAGGCGCCCACCACCACACCTGGCTAATTTTTGTAATTTTAGTAGAGACGGGGTTTTGCCGTGTTGGCCAGGCTGGTCTTGAACTCCTGACCTCATGTGATCTGCCTGCCTGGGCCTCCCAAAGTGCTGGGATTACAGGCACGAGTCACCGCACCCAGCCAAAAATCTAACTGTTTATGTGTAAAGCACAAATATATATCAAGCACAGAGACATACGCAGTGTGTCTGTCATATTACAATTTCATGGGATTGGGACATTAGGAGCATGTAGAAAGAATCCTCAGGAAGTGCAGTAATGAAAAGATTGAGAACACTGACTGAGAGTGTATAAATTCTGGTGCATTCAAAACCCAGCTTTGCAGCTTTCTAGCTGTGTGTCCTTGAGTTAGTTACTTAACCTCTCTGAACTCCTTGTTTTCATACGTGACATGTATCTAGCAAGCATTCCATCACTTAGCTATTTTTATTATCAGGAATACATAGACTCAGTTTTCTCACTGTATGTCTTCCAGGATTTGCACGCCAGATTCACTAAACTGGAATCCTATGTTGTTGCTCAGGAACTGCAATTCTCCAATCTTAACACAATTGTTCGACAATTGGTTAATTCAGGTTTTATGATTAGGTGTGCTGAGTAACAGAGACTCAGAGATGGGGAGTACAGAGTCTGCCTTTGAGGGCCACAGGCTCCCATTCTGACCCATTACATTTCCTTTGTGCCTATCAAAAATGAGGTGCAGGAGAGCCACCTGAGAACACACAGCTCTGTCTGTTTTCAATCAATTTACTGCTATCATCATCATATCCTCAGAAATCATACCATGTTCCCATGCTTTAGCCATAGTGAGGATCTACCAGAAACTTCCATTTTACCTTGGGCCAACTATGTTCTGAGTCCTTTGGCCATGTCATCCTGTCAATATCACCCCTTTTGTTGGGCTTAATCCCTATTTTGCAGATGACAATGTGGGTTTGGAGAAGTTATGTGACATCTCTATGTCCACACAGCTAGTCACGACAAATGAGATTGGAACCTAGATTCCCCTGATTCCGAAGTTCTCTACATAATTTAATCTTCAACAAATGGCCTCCAATTTATTTATTTATTTGTTTATTTATTTATTTATTTATTTATTTCAGAGACAGGGTCTTGCTCTGTTTCCCAGGCTGGAGTGCAGTGGCACAATCGTAGCTCACTGAAGCCTCACTTGAACCTGGGCACAAGTAATCTTCCTGCCTCAGCCTCCCAAGTAGCTGGGACTACAGGTGCACATCATCACGCCCAGGTAATTTTTTCTAATTTTTTTTTTGTTGTTGTTTTGCAGAGATGGGGATCTCACTATGTTGCCTAGACTGGTCTCGAACTCCTGGCCTCAAGCTATCTCCCATCTTGGCCTCTCAAATTGCTGGGATTACAGGCGTGAGCTACCACACCTGGCCCAGCCTCCAATTTAAATAAAATAATTAAAATAATTGACTTTCATTGACTGGGAACTACTGTATTATAGATATTGCCTTATGCCAGATATCATACTAAGTGCTAATGGACATTATAGCAATTAATTATTACAGCAACCCTTTTATTCTCATTCTTCAGATGAAGAAACCGAGACTCGACAAATTAAAGTCATTTGCCTATTCTCACACAACAGAGAAGTGGGAAAGACGGAGTTTGAATCCAGGCCCCACACATGAGTGTGTGCTTCTAATCACTTCACTATGTCCCATCCATTCATTCACTTTTCTGCGACAAGATCTTGCTCTGTCATCCAGGTTGAAGTGCAGTGGTGCAATCACAGCTCACTGCAGCCTCACCCTTCTAGGCTCAGGCAATTCTCCTACCTCTCAGCCTCTGAGTAGCTGGGACTACAGGCACACACCCCATCACCTGGCTAATTTCTGTATTTTTTATAGAAATGGAGTTGTGCCATGTCACCCAGGCCGGTCCTGAACTCCTGGCGTCAAGCGATCAGCCTGCCTCGGCCTTCCAAAGTGCTGGGATTGCAGGCGTGAGCCACCGCACCCAGCCCATTCATTTTCTTATTCAAGCAAATCTGTACTGAGAATTTACTAGACTGTGATTGCAGAGATCTCTCCTGGTGGCTGCTCCTCTGAGGGTTTTCTCTCTTGGTTTCTCATTGCCTCTCTTCCCTTCCCCAAAACTTTAAAATATGGCTGGAGAGTGAAAGTCCTATTGTGAGAATCTGATGGGGTAAAGGTTGGGAACGTGCTGCTTCTCCCTCCCTCTGGCGGGCCAGGTCTGGGGTGCATTTGCTAATTCTGTGAACTGGGCCGAAACATTTCACCCTTCTGGGTCTCAGTTTCCTCATCAATTAAAACAGGGATGATAATACCAATCCCAAAGTGTTGTGCAAGCAAAAGAAAATCATGTGGGCCAAACACTCATGAGAATATTCACATATGAAAGGTCCCTTCCCTGGGAACGGAGATCCACTTCCGTCCACATGGCTGGAACCTTGAGCAGGGTCAGATGTAAGAGTAGAGGGACTGGGCCTGGCTTCCAGACTCTTAGGAGACCCGTTTGTCTGTCGTGTGCCAGCTGTCACTGTGTATCCTGAGCCATGGGCAAAGAAAAGTCTCGCTCTCTAAAGCCAGATTTCACTCACTCATCCGTTCATTCATGAACTCAGTCATTCAGTCATTTACTCATTCACTAACTTGGTCATTCACATATTTATTTCTTCTATAATATTTAATAAACTACTGTTCATTATACGAAACATTTCACAAAGTTGCCTGGTACTTGCAGCCACGAACAAAGACAGTGAAGGTCACTACTCGAATTCTAGGACACGGGGATAGGAAGAGAAAAATTCAACTAAAAAATGCACGTGATAAATACAGATTATGGTAAGTGCTATGCAGAAAATAAAATAAACAGGCTGAGAGACAGTGCCAGGGAGGGCCCAGTTTAGACAGAAGGGCTTAAGAAGGGAACCTAAGAGATGACACTGGAGGGGACATCTAAAAGAAATAGACAACCAGGGCCGGGCGCGGTGGCTCACGCCTGTAATCTCAGGACTTTGGGAGGCCGAGGCGGGTGGATCATGAGGTCAGGAGATCAAGACCATCCTGGCTAACACAGTGAAACCCCGTCTCTACTAAAAATACAAAAAATTAGCCAGGTGCGGTGGGGGGCACCTGTAGTCCCAGCTAACTCGGGAGGCTGAGGCAGGAGAATGGTGTGAACCCGGGAGGCAGAGCTTGCAGTGAGCCGAGATCGCGCCACTGCACTCCAGCCTGGGCGACAGAGCGAGACTCCGTCTCAAAAAAAAAAAAAAAAAAGAAATAGACAACCAGTAGGAAAGCCCAAGTTGGAGATCTCTGATCCCCTTCCCAATAGCTTTGCTGCTATTATCTTTAAAATGCCATTAGAACTCATTTATTTTTTAAAAATTTAAAAATAAAGGAATTTTTTTTTTTTTTTGAGACGGAGTCTTGTTCTGTCGCCCAGGCTGGAGGTTCAGTGGCGCAATCTAGGCTCACTGCAAGTTCCACCTCCCAGGTTCATGCCATTCTCCTGCCTCAGCCTCCCCAGTAGCTGGGACTACAGGCGCCCGCCACCATGCCCGGCTAATTTTTTTGTATTTTTAGTAGAGACGGGGTTTCACTGTGTTAGCCAGGATGGTCTCGATCTCCTGACCTCATGATCCTCCCGCCTCAGCCTCCCATAGTGCTGGGATTACAGGCATGAGCCACCGGGCCCAGACATAAAGGAATTTTTAATTAATAAAATAATATGCAAGAGGGCGCTTAGTATGGACATAGCAATTTTTTTTTTTTTTTTTGAGACAGAGTCTCCCTCTGTCACCCAGGCTGGAGTGCCGTGGCATGATCTCGGCTCACTGCAACCTCCGCCTCCTGGGTTCAAGCTATTCTCCTGCCTCAGCCTCCTGAGTAGCTGGGACTACAGGCACCCGCCACCACGCCTGGCTAATTTTTTTGTATTTTTAGTAGAGAATGGGTTTCACTATATTGGCCAGGCTGGTACTGAACTCCTGGCCTTGTGATCCACCCGCCATGGCCTCCCAGAGTGCTGGGATTACAGGCGTGAGCAGCCGCACATGTCTGCATATTTTATTTTTAATAAAAATAATTGTCTTGACAGGGCACGTGGCTCTCACCTGTAATCCCAGCACTTTGTGAGGCTGAGGTGGGTGGCTCATTTGAGGTCAGGAGTTTGAGACCAGCTTGGCCAACATGGTGAAATCCTGTCTCTACTAAAAAGACAAAGAAATTAGCTGGGTGTGGCGGTGCATGCCTATAATCCCAGATACTTGGGAGGCTGAGGCAGGAGAACTTATTGAACCCAGGTGGTGAAGGTTGCAGTGAGCCAAGATCATGCCACTGCACTCCAGCCTGGGTGACAGAATGAGACTCTGCCTCAAAAAATAAATAAAATAAATAAAAATAAATAAATAAATAAATACATTGTTTTGTAATTGAATTGTTTCTTTACAATATTAAGAACATTTTGTTTCTTGTCCATATCTTCGCCATTTTATTTTTGAGACAGGGTCCCACTCTGTCACCCACGCTAGAGTGCAGTGGTGTGATCACAACTCACTGCAGCCTCCTCCTCCCTGGCTTAAGTGATCTTCCCTCTCAGCCTCCCGAGTAGCTGGGACTACAGGTGTGTGCTACGAAGCCCAACTAATTTTTTAATTTTTTTTGTAGAGATGGGGTCTCTCTGTGTTGCCCAGGTTTATCTTGAACTTCTGGGCTCAAGTGATCCTCCTGCCTTGGTCTCCCAAAGTGCTGGGATTACAGGCATGGGCCACCTGCCCTACCCCTTCCCCATTTTAATACTTGCAAAATTTGGCAAAATATGGCACGTTATGGTTCTATCGCCGTTCTACAAATAGGTATTTCTATTGTCCATACAAATAGACATTTCATTTGCTATTTAATAGGCAATGTTTTTGCTCTTTAAACCATTGTTCATTCACCTTAGTCTCCTCCCATGTTATGGATTCCCCCAGGATACATTCCAAGAGAGAAAAGAGTAGGAGGCACGTTTGAGGTTTACGATACATTTCACCAAACTGATCTTCACAGATTCATACTAGCACCCACCCTGAAGGATGATATCTGAAGAGACCTGTCTCCTTTCCTCCCTTTTTCCTAGTAAAGAGGGAAGGAATGAAGACTTGCCTACTGGATCCCAGGCAGCCTGCTAGGGAGGACTTAATTAGGGCTAATGATTTCTTGTCTTCGTGAGGACAGCTAGATGCCACTGGGTCGGGGAACCTCAGCCTGAGAAGGGAGACTCTCCATAGACATTGAAATGTCTCTCTCTCTCTTTTTTTTGAGACGGAGTTTCGCTCTTGGTGCCCAGGCTGGAGTGCAATGGCGCAATCTTGGCTCACCGCAACCTCTGCCTCCCAGGTTGAAGCAATTCTCCTGCCTCAGCCTCCCGAGTAGCTGGAATTACAGGCATGCACCACCATGCCCGGCTAATTTTGTATTTTTAGTAGAGAAGGAGTTTCTCCATGTTGAGGCTGGTCTCAAACTCCTGACCTCAGGTGATCCTCCCTCCTCGGCCTCCCAAGGTGCTGGGATAACAGGCGTGAGCCACCTCGCCCGGCTCAACCATCTCTTTTTGAAAATGGGTGTGATGTTTTTTCCACTGACTGGGGACAATAGCCCCAGAGCCTTAGAAAAACAAAGGCAGGAGGCTGCTGGGGGCAGGAGGCTGCTGGGGCCAGCAGCTGCTTCTGGGGTCAGGTCCACCAAAGATGTCCTAATTTATTCATTTACTGCCTCTTGCCTTCGGGAATTTTAAGAGGAGAAAACAAACATTTGTTTATTCATTCTTCTTGTTGTCTCAGAGATCTCAAACTACCTCAAGATCTAGTGATCTGAGGAATGAACTTGTTGGAATTCTGCAAACTCCACCTAAGCAAAAGGTGCTTTAGAAGGATGAAAAAGGTGAAGAAATGGAATTTGGGGGGATAATGGTCTTTGAAAATATATGTTCTGAAAAATTTGAAATGCATCCAAACGTAATGAACCCCTCCCTTCCTATTATGCAGTTTCAACAATTATTATGATGATTATTATTATTTTGAGATGGTGTCTTGCTCTGTTGCCAGGCTGGAGTGCAGTGGTGCGATCTCAGCTCACTGCAACCTCCGCCTCCCAGGTTCAAGCAATTCCCCTGCCTCAGCCTCCTGAGTAGCTGGGATTACAGGCATGTGCCACGACAGCCGGCTAATTTTTTGTATTTTAGTAGAGACGGGGTTTCACCATGTTGGCCAGGATGGTGTGGATCTCCTGACCTCGTGATCCGCCTACCTCGGCCTCCCAAAGTGCCGGGATTACAGGCATGAGCCACGCCAGGCCTTTTTTCTTTTTATTCTTTTTCCTTTTTTTTTTTTTTGGCAGAGTCTTGCTCTGTCACCCAGGCTGGAGTGCAGTGGCATGATCTCGGCTCACTACAACCTCCACCTCCCAGGTTTCAAGCGATTCTCCTGCCTCAGCCTCCTGAGTAGCTGGAATCACAGGCATGTGCCACCACGCCTGGCTTTTTTAGTAGAGATGGGGTTTCGCCATGTTGGCTAGGCTGGTCTCGAACTCCTGGCCTCAAGTGATCTGGCTGCCTTGGCTTTCCAAAGTGCTGGGATTGCAGGCATGAGCCACTGCGCCCGGCCAACAATTATTATAATTTTGGACAAAGACATTTTTTGTAAGGATCTTATAGGTCCCAAACATTCTTATTTTGGGGAGACCCCTTACCTACATCTTAAAATGCACCCACATTACATAATAAATACAATTTTATATATTTAAAATAGCTCAATTGTCGACATAATGTTTTGTTGTTGTTGTTCTTTGAGACAGGGTCTTGTTCTGTCACTGAGGCTAGAGTGCAGTGGTGCTACCAAGGCTCAAGTGATCCTCCCCTTTCGGCCTCCTGAGTAGCTGGGACTACAGGCATGAACCACCATGCTCAGTTAATTCTTTTATTTTTTATTTTTACTTTTTATAGTGACAGGGGTCTTGCTACATTGCTCAGGCTGGTCTTGAACTCCTGAGCTCAAGTAATCCTCCTGCCTCAGCCTCCCAAAGTGCTGGGATTAAAAGCATGAGCCATTCCACTGAGCTGACATCAAGTTACATTTTGTCCATATGTAAGCATTACTTTTAATGTGGCAATCCTCCCTTCCTTGGGTCATCTGAAAAAAGGTGTCTCTTGCACCCAGCAGTTAGACTGGCCCTTGTTGTAGATATGCAAAATGACACCTAGCTCAAGACAAAGGATGATTCACTAGTTGAAAACCTTTTAAGACAATGGGGCTTTAGGTCCAGGAGCCTGGAGGAGGAATTGTCAAAGATTCAACACGAACTTTCCCTACTGATGAAAAAAAAAAATCAAAGAAGTGAGTTTTTTTCTCCTTTAATTTTGCTGTCCCATCTTGAGCACTTCCTCTGTTCCTCAGATTGTGCCAAAGTCCTTGCCATCCACATTTGATACAGAGGAATGACAATTGTGCCACCTCATAGTGCTGTTGTGAAGATGAAAGGAAACCCGTCTAGATTGCACAGTGCTGGCGCCAAAAACACACTCAGCCATGCTCGCAGTTAATATTCTTCTTCCTGTTGTTTCTGCTGTTTTTATTATCAAACTGATGTTATTCCTACTACTCATTTTTAGAGGAAAATACAGGCTCAGAGAGTTAAAGTAGCTCCCTTAAGATCACACAGCACCTGCCAGAATCTGAGTTCAAACTCTTGCCTTATCCACCAGATGATAAGTTCTCCTGTGATCTCTGCAGTCAAAAACCCCTGTGTTCAGAATTTTGTCTCCATCGCTTACAGATAAACCCGTCATTTATTCCATCTTCTTTGAGTGTTCGTGTTCTCTTTTGTTAAACCAAGATAACAGTAATATCTACTTACACAGTGGCCAAAGGCTTACCATCAGGTTATGTGTGAGAAAATCCCTTGTAATCAGCAACATCTCCCCTGGATGTTAGTTATTTTTCTGTCTATTACTATTTTCACAAAGTAAGGCCATAAATAGATTAAAAGGGGGAGTATACCAAGGAGTAGATAACGTGGGAGAGCCAGCAGGTGACATTATAACATCTCACAATTGTGTCCTCACTACTTGGCCCACTGTGTGTCTCACACACAGTAGATGCGAAAGAGAGAGAGAGGAAAGAGAGAGAGAGGAAAGAGAGAGAGAGAGAAAGGAGGAAGGGAGGGATGGAGGGAAGGGAAAAAAAGAGAGAAAAGAAAATAGAAACAAAAAGAAAGAAGGCCAGGCACAGTGGCTCATGCCTGTAACCCCAGGACTTTGGGAGGCCCAGGCAGGCAGATCACCTGAGCTCAGAAGTTTGAGACTAGCCTGGCCAACATGGCAAAACCCCGTCTCAAATAAAAATGCAAAAATTAGCCGGGTGTGGTGGCACGCGTCCGTAGTCCCAGCTACTCAGGAGGCTGAGGCAGGAGAATCTCTTGAACCTGGGAGGTGGAGGTTGCAGTGAGTTGAGATCGCACTACTGCACTGCAACCTGGGCAACAGAGTGAGATTTTGTCAAAAAAAAAAAAGAAAGAAAGAGAGGAAGGAAGGAAGGAAGGAAGGGAGAGAGAAAAAGAAAAAAGAGAGAAAGAAAGGGAAGAAAAGGAAGGAAGGAAGGAAGGAAGGAAGGAAGGAAGGAAAGAAAGAAAGAAAGAAAGAAAGATAGAAAGAAAGAAAGAAAGAAAGGAAGGGAAGAAAAGGAAGGAAGGAAGGAAGGAAGGAAGGAAGGAAAGAAAGAAAGAAAGAAAGAAAGAAAGAAAGAAAGAAAGAAAGAAAGAAAGAAAGAAAGAGAAAGAAAGAGAAAGAAAGAAAGAAAGAAAGAAAGAAAGAAAGAAAGAAAGAAAGAGAAGGAAGGAAAGGAAAGAAAAGAAAGAAAGAAAGAGAGAAGGAAAGAAAGAAAGAGAGAAGGAAAGAAAGAGAGAGAGAGAGATACATTCTTAAATGAAAGCTCCTATCCTGTGGGCCCCAGGGATCAATGGATGGGATTTAGGAGGGGAGTAGGTCTAGGAATTCTGAATAATGGGAGGCCACCTACCTATTGGGTGTGTGCATTTTCCTGGGAGGAGAATAACAGGTCTTCCTATCAATCAGACCCAATAAACTGCTCTTATACATTTATGTATAAATATATTTCATTTCTTGCAAAGACAATTTCATAACAGAAACTAACAACATGTAGACCAGGCACAATTCCACCAATAATTTGGGGTTCCCTTTTCCACTTTCTCTTCCTGTCCTTGTATTCAGGAATTTAAAAAGAGCCATTGTCCTAAAGAAGATAGCATTTTGAAATTCACTTATTATTATTATTATTGAGACAGAGTCTCGCTCTGTCACCCAGGCTGGAGTGCAGTGGCACAATCTTGGCTCACTGCAGCCTCCACCTCCTGGGTTCAAGTGATTCTCCTGCCTCAGCCTCCCAAGTAGCTGGGATTACAGATGAGTGCCACCACAGCAGCTATTTTTTGTAGAGATGGGGTTTTGCCCTGTTGGCCAGGCTGGTCTCGAACTCCCAACCTCAAGTGATCCACCTGCCTCGGCCTCCCAAAGGGCTGGGAATAGAGGCGTGAGCCACTGCACCCACCTTCACTTATTATTTTATTATTATTATTACTCAGTATAATACATTCCCCATGTTGCTTGATAGATTTTACATTTATCATTTTAATCATTAAATAATAGTTCACTCCCTTATATAAGAACCCATTTAATACATGCTGGTTGTGAGATTTCAGTTAATGTAACAAATGAAGTTGGAATGCTGTTTGGCACATAGTAAGTGTCATCATAAATATTGATGTTATTTCAATTTTATCCTCAAACCAGTTTATGAGGTTGCCATTATAATGACACCCATTTTATAGATGAGAGAACGAAGGTACAGCAAGGTTAGTTAGCTTGTCCTAGGTCACACAGCTAGTTAAGGAAGGAAGCCCAAGAAATTGGTGAATTAACAGTTTCTGAATTCCTGCATCTTCCAGCTGGCCCACAGCCCACCTCAGGGTAGCGCTACTTACAGTACAAAGAACCAAACCTTTGATGTGCTAATCCCATTTGTTTGTATGGAGATCAGAGGAGGACACCTGGATTTATTTATGCAGTTCCTGACTCCAAAAGCCCCTATCAGGCCTCCTGAGATTAGATAGATTAGCTATTTAAATTGTATTGTTTGATTCCTGCTCCCCAAAGTCAAGACTTTCTTGCTAACCCTGATTTTATAACCACAGGCAATACACTTAACCTTTCAGCTTGAATCTCAGTTTCTTTATCTCTAAGATGGGTACTCTATTCCCAGAGGAGTTGCAGGGACATTTACCAGATAAAACGTAGCCAACCCTGGATGTCTTCTCTTCCTTTCAAGTCCAAATTCATCTCCTAGAAACTCCATTCTGGCAGTACACAGTGGCTCACGCCTGTAATCCCAGCATTGGGAGGCCGAGGCGGGCAGATCACGAGGTCAGGAGATCAAGACCATCTTGGCCAACATGGTGAAATCCCATCTCTACTAAAATGCAAAAGAAAAAAAAAATTTGCCAGGCATGGTGACGTGCACCTATAGTCCCAGCTACTCAGGAGGCTGAGGCAGGGGAATTGCTTGAATCTGGGAGCTGGAGGTTGCAGTAATCTGAGATCGCGCCACTGCACTCCAGCCTGGTGACAGAGTGAGATCCCGCCTAAAAAAAAAACACACACACACACAAAACAAAGAACAAACAAACAAAACACAAAAAATACACCAAAACTCAAAACGCCATTCCAATTTCCTTTTCTTTTTCTCCCCCTCTTCTACTTAGTAACCTATAATGGCCACCCACAATCTCCAGCTGGGAGTCCACTTTCCTCACCTCTAAAATGAGATTATAGTCAGAAGTTTCGATGAGGATGAAGTGATAAAATATATTTAAAGCTCAGTGTGTTGCACATAGGTTTTTTGTTGTTGTTTGTTTGTGTGTTTTTTGAGATGAAGTCTCTGTAGCCCAGGCAGGAGTGCAGTGGCATGGTCTCGGCTCACTGAGACCTCTGCCACTCAGGTTCAAGTGATTCTCCTGCCTCAGCCTCCAGAGTAGCTGGGACTACAGGCGCACGCCAACACGCCCGGCTCATTTTTGTATTTTTGGTAGAGATGGGGTTTCACCATGTTGGCCAGGCTTGTCTCGAACTCCTGACCTCAGTTGATCTACCTGCCTTGGCCTCCCAAAGTGCTGGGATTACAGGCATAAGTCACTGCACCCGGCCAAGTTGCACACAGTTTCTGCACAAAATGAAGGTATTATGACTCTTCATTTGTTGTTGTTGTTAGAGAATAAGTGACATGTCCAACTAGTTAGAGAGCTAGCATTACCTCGATCAGCCTGGTAAGATTTGCAGGCCTGCAGCTCTCTCTCCCCTTTGCCAATTTCTTCCCTTCCTTCCTTCCTTCCTTCCTTCCTTCCTTCCTTCCTTCTTTCCTTCCTTCCCTCCTTCCTTCCTTCCTCTCTTTCTCTTGCTTGCTTGCTTTTTCTGAGACAGACTCTTGCTCTGTCGCCCAGGCTGGAGTGCAATGGCATGATCTCGGCTCACTGCAACCTCCACCTCCCAGGTTCAAGCGATTCTCCTGCCTCAGCCTCCCGATTAGCTGGGATTACAGGTGCCCACCACCACATCCGACTAACTTTTTTGTATTTTTAGTAGAGACGGGGTTTCACCGTGTTGGTCAGGCTGGTCTCGAACTCCTGACCTCAGGTAATCCACCCACCTCAGCCTCCCACAGTGCTGGGATTACCGGCGTCAGCCACCGCACCTGGTCTCCCTTTGTCAATTTCTAAAACACTTCTGACCCACTCAACAATGATTACATCCAGTTTCATTTAGGATTGGGAAAAGCTTTCTCTTCGAATAAGAAAAAAGGGAAGATAATCGAACAGTCACATACTCGAGTGGCCACAAGATGGCTCTCCCGGGAGGCCCGGCTTGGATTAACCCCCAGCGTTGATTCCTTAACACCATTCCTTCCCTGAGAAACAGCATCCTGTTTGGGATGCCAGACCCCCTTGGACTCTCATGGCTCCAGCCCTCAGGACTGTGAGCCCCTTGGAAAATGACCTGAGTCTGCCTTTTCTTCTGGTCCCTCTTGATTTCTTTCTGGACACACATTTTTGTGGGTGCTGCCACTCGCTATCTGGCTTGGTTGCCCTCTGGGTTTTCAGTGTGTGCATACGAACAGAGGACACCAGATAGCTAATCTTACCTCTGACCAACCCTCTCAAAGGCACAATCAAGATAGAACCCAGCACTCATCTTGCTTTGCAAACCTCAAAAGCCGGTTGAGCTGAGCTAGTGAAGACACGCCTCAGCTCTCTATTTTGGGTGTTTCCTGCATTCCAGCGGATAAGGAGACACCTCTGAGGAGCCTGAACTGCCTGCCCAGAAGGCAGAGTGGGTGAAAGTTTCAAGACAGTCTGGGCACACTCAGGGTGCAACAGTGAACACCTCTTACACAGCGCTGAGCATTTTCCAGAACTGTCTTGCTTCCTCTGTCTCTCTTGACTTTCACAGCAGCCTGCCAGGGCTGACAGGCAATGGGCCCTTTTGTCTTTTTGTTTGTTTCTTTTTATGGAGAATGAGGTCTTACTATGTTGCTGAAGCAGGACTTTAACTCCTGGGCTAAAGCTATCCTCCTGCATCTGCCTCCCTAAATGCTGGGATTACAGGTGTGAGCCACCGTGCCTGGCAATGGGCCCTTTAAATTTTTTTTTTTTTTTTTTGGAGAGACAGAGTCTCACTATGTTGCCCAAGCTGGTCTTGAACTACTGGGCTCAAGCAATCCTCCCACCTTGGCCTCCCAAAGTGCTGGGATTACAGGCATGAGCCTGGCAATGGGCCCTTTTGAATAGAGGAAGATGCTGATGTTCAGAAAGGTTAAGGAATATGCCTAAGGGCACCAAGGTCACAAACCCTAGAACTTTTTACAAGCTGATGAGTTCCAACTCCTGGTCCCCAGTCCTCTGTGTGACCCCTCCCCTTCAACTGTCCTATATTTAAAATCTTCTGCTAGAAACCAGGACTTTCAGGAAAGACCTGTTCACCTTTTGCTGGTTCTGAAGTAAACAGGTCTCAAGCTGTTCTTGGATGACGGTGAATTCAAGGACTGCAGTGTTTTCACTAGGCCTCACGGGCATTGGCACGTCCCCAGAGATTCCGGAGAGACTGGGGAGGCTGGAAGGATGAGGTCCCTGGTAATTCATGTGCACTGATTGTTGGCTTGCATCAGATGGATACAAGTTCAGAACCACCTAGAAGTAGTTTATTTTGGAAATGTGGATGCCCACTTCTGTGTCCCTGTACACTGCCATGTGCGCACCCACCAGGAACGCCTAGATTTTTTTCTTAAAGGGCAATGCAGTTAATTTCACCGTGACCAAAACTTGAGTAGATACGCCATGAATTCAGTGCCCAGGAAAGAAAATCCACAGAGGTATAACTCCGTATTTTTCTTGGAAATAAATTTGGAGCAGCCATACAAATTTCTCTGTGTGTGTGTGAGTGTGTGTGAGAGTGTGTGTGTGTGAGAGAGAGAGAGGAAAAAAAGAAAGAAAGAGAGAGAGAGAAAGAGAGAGAAAGAAAAGAAAGAAAGAAAGAAAGAAAGAAGAAAGGAAGGAAGGAAGGAGGGAAGGAAGGAAGGAAGGAAAGAAAGAAAAAAAGAAAGAAGGAAGGAAAAAAGAAAGAAAGAAAGAAAGAAAGAAAGAAAGAAAGAAAGAAAGAAAGAGAAAGAAAGAGAAAGAAAGAAAGAAAGAAAGAAAGAAAAGCAAGCATCAGAGAGAGACTGAATTATTCCAGGACTGATTTCTTCAGCTGTGGCTAAAAGAGTTTTTGTTAAGTAAGACTCTTTAGAGATTACTTTATGTTTGACATATATATATTATATATTATATATTATATTTATATATATATTATATAATATATATATATTATATATATATTATATATATATATATTATATAATATATTATATATATATAAAATAATATATATATTATATATATATAATATATATATTATATTTATATAATATATATATTATATATATATAATATATATATATTATATATATATATACACACATTTTTTTTGAGATATATATTTTTTGAGATGGAGTCTCACTCCGTTGCCCAGGCTGGAGTGCGGTGGCACAATCTAGGCTCACTGTAACCTCCGCCTCCTGGGTTCAAGCCATTCTCCTGCTTCAGCCTCCCGTGTAGCTGGGATTACAGGTGTGCACCACCAGGCCCGGATAATTTTTGTATTTTTAGTAGAGACGGGGTTTCACCATGTTGGCCAGGCTGGTCTTGAACTCCTGACCTCAAGTGATCTGCCCGCCATGACCTCCCAAAGCATTGGGATTACAGAAGTGAGCCACCGTCCCTAGCTTGTTTTATATATTATTTTTCATGTATTTGGCTAATTTTTGTATATTTTTAGGGATGGAGTTTTGCCATGTTGCCCAGGCTCCTCTTGAACTCCTGGACTCAAGCCATCCACCTGCCTTGGCCTCTCAAAATGCTGGGACTACAGGCATCAGCCACTGCACCCAGCCTTACTTCCACTTTTTTTTTTTTTTTCAGATGGAGTCTTGCTCTGTTGCCCAGGCTGGAGTGCCGTGGCAAGATCTCGGCTCACTGCAACCTCTGCCTCCCAGGTTCACGCCATTCTCCTGCCTCAGCCTCCCGAGTAGCTGGGACTACAGGCACCCGCCACCACGCCCAGCTAATTTTTTGTATTTTTAGTAGAGACAGGGTTTCACCGTGTTAGCCAGGATGGTCTCCATCTGACCTTGTGATCCGCCCACCTCAGCCTCCCAAAGTGCTGGGATTACAGGCGTGAGCCACTGTGCCTGGCTTTTTTTTTTCTTTTTTCACTCCCTTACATTGATCCAGAGCCTACTATGTGCCAGGTACTGTGTAAGTGCTTCTTCATTTAATTTATCCTTCTCACAAACTGATGAGGTAGGTAATATAATTATATCTCCCCATTATACAGGGAAGAAAACTGAGACTTAGAGAGGTGGAGAGATTTTTCCAAGATGCTTTAGTTGATCTGAATCTCATCCCAGGAATGTGACTTCCGGAGTGCCTCTTCACCTCCTAACTTACCCATCTAGGCCAAGGTTTCTCAGTGTGGCCACTACTGGCATTTTGTACCAGATAATCCTGCATGGTAGGGGGCTGTCCTGTGTAGAATGTTTAGCAGCATCCTTGGTCTCTACCAGTAGGTAGATGCCAGCAGTAGCATCACCCTCATGTGTGACAACAAAAAATATCTCCAGACAATGCCAGGTGTCTGCTGGGGGCAAAATCCTCCTCCTAAAAACATGAGAACCACTGTTCTTTGCTAATTTCTCATTCCTAAGATGCAGGGTAGGACCCAAATATACTTTGCCAGAATGTAGGAATAATTGATTGATTCTTTTTTTTTTTTTTTTTTTGGGATGGACTCTAATCTGTCACCCAGGCTACAGTGCAGAGGCATGATCTCAGCTCATTGCAAACTCTGCCTCCCAGGTTCAAGAGATTCTCATGCCTCAGAATCCCGAGTAGCTGGGACTACAGGCGAGCCACCACTCCCAGCCAAGTTTTATATTTTTAATAGAGACGGGGTTTCACCACGTTGGCCAGGCTAGTCTTGAACTCCTGACCTCAGGTGATCCTCCCACCTCGGCCTCCCAAAGTGCTGGGATTACAGGTGCAGCCACTGCACCTGGCCAATTTATTGATTCTGGAGTTGGTTTATGTGTTTCTCCTTCATTCCTGCAAAAACTGTATTCACCTTTCACCTTCTCCAGAAACCTGGATCCACTAGTGGGTTCCCTCCTCTCTATAACATGGCAAAGAACGTTAGTTTTACTGTATCCTTTCTATCTCTCTGGGTTTCAGGTCATTTTGTGGCCCTGGCTAAACCCTCCCTGCTTTGGCTAGACTGGGAGAAGGCCCTGAAGGTAAAGCCTTTGTTTCTGAGAGATGAGCACTTGGTGGCTTATGTCAGTAATCCCAGCACTCTGGGAGGCTGAGGTGGGCAGATCACTTGAGGTCAGGAGTTCGAGACCAGCCTGGCCAACATGGCGAAAACCCATCTCTACTAAATATACAAAAATTAACCAGGTATGGTGGTGCGCACCTGTAATTCCAGGTACTAGAAAGGCTGAGGCACAAGAATCACTTGAACCTGGGAGGCAGAGGTTGCAGTGAGCCGACATCGTGCCACTGCACACCAGCCTGGGTGACGGAGCGAGACTCCATCTCAAAAAAAAAAAAAAAACTTTGTCTTTGTAATCTTTTTTATCCATCTTTGATCCCAAAGCAAACCCCAGGGCCTGGCACAGAAGAGGTGTAAATACCTGTTTGGCAAATAGTGAGCAAGGTATAGGTGGGTAGCCAGAGAAGACATTTAGGCAAAGGGATTAGAAGTGAGTTTTCTTGACCAAGAGCGGTGGCTCACGCCTGTAATCTCAGCACTTTGGGAGGCCAAGGAGGGTGGATCACCTGAGGTCAGGAGTTCGAGACCAGCCTGGCCAACATGGCGAAACCCTGTCTCTACTACAAATACAAAAAAAAAAAAAAAATTAGCTAGGTGTGGTGGTGGGTGCCTGTAATCCCAGCTACCCAGGAGGCTGAGGCAGGAGAATCACTGGAACCTGGGAGGCAGAGGCTGCAGTGAGCCTAGATCCCGCCACTACACTCCAGCCTGGGCAAAGGACCATGACTCCAACAACAACAACAAAAAAAGTGAGTTTTCTCTTTCACCTGCATGTATTTCATGTATTTGTGTGTTCTTTGAATTGGAAAGTTAAAAAAAAAAAAAACAGTAAGAATGAGCTACTTTTATGTCATACTAAGCACTTAATAGTCAGTAAGCTGAATTCACGGTATGCTTCCAAATGAATTTTTTTTTGAGATAGAGTCTTGCTCTGTCGCCCAGGCTGGAGTGCAGTGGTGTGATCTCAGCTCACTGCAACCTCCGCCTCCCAGGTTCAAGCAATTCTCTGCCTCAGTCTCCCAAGTAGCTGGGATTACAGGCACCTGCTACCACGCCTGGCTAATTTTCATATTTTTAGTAGAGACAGGGTTTCACCATCTTGGCCAGGCTGGTCTTGAACTCCTGATCTCATGATCCACCCGCCTCAGCCTCCCAAAGTGCTGGGATTACAGGCGTGAGCCACCGCGCCTGGCCTCCAAATGAATTTTAAAAAAAAATCTACACAAAGACATACAGCAAAGTCCTGCCTCAGACCCCCAAGTAGCTGGAACCACAGGCACATGCCACCATGCCCGACTAATTTTTGTATGTTTTGTAGAGATGGGATCTTGCCATGTTTCCCTGGCTGGTCGCGAACTCCTGAGCCCAAGTGATTTACCTGCCTAGGCCTCCCAAATTGCTAGGAGTAAAAGAGTGAGCCACCACGCCCGGCCTCGCAAGGTCATCTTCTAAGCTTCGATTTGTTCATCTGTAAAATGAGATGAGAAAAGCAGGGACTTCCTCTGAAGGATTTGGAATGATTAAAAGAGATAAGAAATGCAAAACAGAGTGCTTAATAGGGGTTTGATTAATGCCAGTAATTCACATACTGATTTTATCAAAAAGGCGTTCTTTTTCTTTCTAACACAAAAATAAGATCAAAGCTAATAAATGTGATTTTTAAAAAACTCTGGGTGAGAGGGTTATCAGGACGCCCCTTCCCCCTTAGCCCCATGCACAAGTCCTGCACAGCAAGGACAACTGGGTCACAGAGTGCCCGGGGGAGGACCTTGAGAAGCCCAGTGGCCAATTTAGAGGAGCCTGTGCGGCTCTGAGCTCGGAGCTGACTCAGATCAACGTGGAGCCTCCCTGATAGCATACCTGCACTCCCAGAAGAAAACAACACTGCAGAGAAGCCCCAAATTGTCAAAAATCTCAAACGAATTGTCCATTCTTTGTCTTTGAGGTTGATTTAATGACATTTTGTTTTCCTAATTATTCAGCCAAGGTAGATGAGGAATCTGTTGTTCCCCTTGGTGTCCCCAGAAGCAGCCAGGGGCTGGACACTGACGGCTGTGGAGACAAATATCAGAGCACCTACTGTTCAAGTGCTAATGGCCTTGTTTAACCATCACAGCAACCCCACAGACATTTGTGCTAGTTCTCCCATTTTACAGGTGAGAAAATTGAGGCTGAATGTGATCTTAATTTACCTATATTCAGGACACCTTCAGGATAATTAGATCTAGCCTGGCCTGGTGTCATTTAGAAACTTGCTCCTACTCAAAGTATGGTCTGTGGACCAGCAGCAGAGCCCCAGAGTCCATAAATATGTAGCATCTCAATCTGTTCTAGCTACTAAATCAGAATTATGTTCAAGGCTGGCTTTGTTTGCTGTTTTCTGTGTCCTCTGTCTACTCCCATGGCCTTAGACCAGGCCACTATCAGCTCTCATCTGAATCACCCTCGACAGCCTTTAACTGCTCCCTCTTGCTCCTTCTCAACCAATCTGGCATTCCCTTCCTCTATATCTTTCAAGGGCTCCCTATTGACTTTGCATTAACTTCCTAACATAGCTTTTAGGGCACTTCCCATTCTGGATCCTGCCTTCTCAGCCTTCATCTCACATCTCACTCTTTCATTACAGCCCATGCTGCATGGTCCAGCCTCATCCAATGCCCTTCCTGGCATGCAACCCCACCTCTGGAACTTTGTCCGTCCTCATCACCTGGAAGATGGTTCACTTTTTCTCTATCCCTGGATTGATCTTACTTGTCCCCCTGTTCTCACTGGAACACTTCTTTGAAGAAGTATATTCCAGCCCCTTGAGCTTGTTCCATCCCATAGGAGTTATCATGCCTGCTTGCTGATTTGTCTCCCTTTCAGATTTTAAGCACTTCAAGGACAAAAGTTGTCTTTTATTTTTTATTTTTTATTTTTTTTGAGACAGAGTCTCTGTCGCCCAGGCTGGAGTGCAGTGGCACGATCTCGGCTCACTGCAAACTCCACGTCCCAGGTTCAAGCCATTCTCCTGCCTCAGCCTCCCGTGTAGCTGGGACTACAGGCGCCAGCCATCATGCCTGGCTAATTTTTTTTGTATTTTTAGTAGAGACGGGGTTTCATCGTGTTAGCCAGGATGTTCTCAATCTCCTGACCTCATGATCTGCCCACCTCAGCCTCCCAAAGTGCTGGGATTACAGGTGTGAGCCATCGCGCCTGGCCGACAAAAGTTGTCTTACTCATCAATGCAGCCTCGACACTTAGCATGAGATCTTGCACATGGTGCATTCCCCCTGCATTTATTTTATTATCATTTTTTGAGACAGAATTTTTGCTCTGTTGCCCAGTCTGGAGTGCAATGGCACAATCCTGGCTCACTACAACCTCCGCTTCCTGGGTTCAAGCGATTCTCCTGCTTCAACTTCCCGAGTAGCTGGGATTAAAGGCGCCCACCGCCATGCCTGGCTAAGTTTTTGTATTTTTAGTAGAGACGAGGTTTCACCATGTTGGCCAGGCTGGTCTAGAACCCCTGACCTCAAGTGATCCACCTGCCTCAGCCTCCCAAAGTGTTAGGATTACAGGTGTGAGCCAACATGCCCGGCCTGGTGCATTCTCAGTAATGGCCCTCAGTGTTCACCCTCTGGCAGCTTCTGGGTACACTAATGAAAACAACAGATTCCTTGTCAGCCCAAGCCGAATAATTAGGAAAACTAAACATCATCAAATCAACCCCAAAGACAAGAAACGAGAAATTCATTTGAACTTTTTGAAAATTTAGGGATTCTCTGCAGTGCTTTTTTTTCCCCAGGAGTTCAAGAATATTGTCATGAATGAACTTGAAAGACCCGGAAGTTCTGTCTCTTATAGCTGGGCACTTGGAGTGAAAGCCCCTACATTGAATACCCTTCTCGTGGTGCTGCAAGAGCCATCACTCTTGGGAACTTTAGCCCTTTTATTTTATAACATATTTTTTGTCTCTGTGATGTAGAACTGCATAGGATATATGTGGTTTAGCCAATACTTACAAAGTGAACATCAGTATTCACAGCATGCGAAACAGCAGCCCCCCAAACTCCCCAGGTATGCCTTCCTCTTCCCCACAAGTAGCCACTACCCTGAATTTGGGGACAATCATTTCCTTGCTTTTCTTTATAATTTTACCCCCTACATAAGGATCCTTAAGCAATAGAATTTAATTTGGCCTCTTTTGCTTTTGAACTTTATATAAATGCAACAGTGCTTGATGTGTTTTGGGGGTCTGGCTTCTTCCCCTCAACATTCCACCTGTGAGATTTCTCCATGTTGTTCGGGGTAGCTGTGCCATCCATTTTCATTGCTGAGTATATTTCATTGTATGGAGATGCCACTGTTTTCTCCATTCTACTGCTGATGGATGCTGGGGCTGTTTCTAGTTTGGAGCTACCATGCAAATAACGTGTGAGCAACGGTCTTGGCTCCATCTCCGTCTTTTGGAACACATGCACCTGAGTTTCTCTAGGGAATAAATCTGGGAGTGGAGGTGCTGGGTCCTAGAATCTGCATATATTGAACTTTACTACATAATGAGACACCAACCTCCATAGTGGTCACAGTACCTTTACTCTTGGTCTCCTGGGTAAGAATTGGAGACACTGGGAGTTTTCTTCTACAGCCTATCTCAATCTCCCCACAAAGGTACATTATAAATTTAAAAAGGAGGAAGAGAAATATTTCTAGTCCATAATCTCGAGTTGCCCGAGGGCTTTTTCTTTGACCTGCAGAGGCAAGTGGTTGCAGAGATGGAAGCAGGAATGAGGCGGTCCTCTCTTTGATGCCTATCTGAGTTTGGAGGGGGTGGGAGTGACATTTGGGCTTCTCTAGTGAGTCAACCAGGAAGAATCTTCCCAGCTGAGATCCATTTGCCCCACCCCAGGTAGCATAAGAAGGGGAGAGAAGCCGCTCTTCTGGGCAGTGTTCAGGGCAGAGCCTGATGGTGGCCTTTTGGCTCACATTTGTTTCAACAATAAAGACCTCATCGAGTATCTGAATTGTATTTTGTTCTTTTCCTCAAATGGAATACTTGTATGGTGCTTTCAAGTTGTGAAGATGATGCTGTATGTGTACACACACACACACACATTTATATATAACTGGTGAAATTTGTATGCATGTTAGATAATAGAAATAAAATAACTGTGCTGTGATTATGTAAGAGGAGAATGTTCTTGCTCTTAGAAGATGCACGCTGAAGAACTAAGGGATAGAACTTCTTGATGTTTTCAACTTGCTTTCAAAATGGTTCCACAAAAATAACAATCATAACATGTATGTAGATATAGGTGTAGGTAGATAGGTAGATACAAGTATATGCGTAGGTATATAAATAGATATGGGTATGGGCATAGGTATATAGACATAGGTACAGGTATATAGATAGATATAGGTATAGGTGTAGGTACATAGGTAGTTATACGTATAGGTATAGGTATACACATAGATATAGATACAGTTGTAGGTATATAGATAGATATAGCTATAGGTATATAGGTATATATAAGTATAGGTGTAGGTATACAGGTAAATATAGGCATAGGTATGTAGGTAGATATAGGTATAGGCATAGGTATACAGGTAGATATAGATATAGTTGTAGGTATATAGATAGATATAGATATAGTTGTAGGTATATAGATAGATATAGCTATAGGTATATAGGTAGATATAAGTATAGGTGTAGGTATACAGGTAGATATAGGTATAGGCATAGGTATGTAGGTAGATAGAGCTATAGGCATACATATATAGATAGATATAGATCTAGGTATGTAGTTAGATATAGGTACAGGCATAGGTATGTAGGTAGATATAGGGACTGGCACATGTATGTAGGTAAATATAGGTACAAGAGTAGGTATGTAGGTAGATATAGGTACAGGCATAGGTATATAGGTAGATATATGTATTGGCATAGGCATATTGGTAGATACAGATAGGTAGACATGGGCATAGCTGTAGGTATATAGAGAGATAGGTATAGGTGTAGGTATATAGAGAGATAGGTATAGGTGTAGGTATATAGAGAGATATAGGTATAGGTGTAGGTATAGATAAAGCGAATGTGGCACAATGTTGGCAATGCTGAATCTGACTGAAGGGAGTATAGGACTTCATTGTACTATACTTGCAACTTCTCTCTTTTTATTTTTCTTTTAAAATATAAAGCTAAAAGTTACCTCCAAATCCCACTGCCCAAAGGTAACCACTGTTTATATCGGATGGATCTCCCACATAACTCTGAGAATGTACACGCACATGTGGTGCACACACACAGACATACACACAGACGCAATTTTGTTTTTTTTCTTTTAATTTTTATTTTAGGTCTGGGGTTATATGTAAAGGTTTGTTACATAGATAAACACATGTCACAGGGGTTTGTTGTACATATTATTACATCACCCAGGTATTAAGCTCAGTACCCAATAGTTGTCTTTTCTGCTCCTCTCCCTCCTCTGACCCTCCCCCCTCAAGTAGGCACCAGTGTCTGCTGTTCCTCTCTGTGTTCATATGTTATCATTTAGCTTCCACTTATGCATAAGAACATGCAGTATTTGGTTTTATATTCCTGTGCTAGTTTGCTAAGGATGATGGCCTCCAGCTCTATCCATGTTCCCACAAAAGACATGATCTCGTTTTTTTATGACTGCATAATATTCCACGGTGCATAGGTACCATATATTTTTTTATCCAGCCTGTCATTGATGGGCATTTAGGTTGATTCCGTGTCTTTGCTATTGTGAACAGTGCTGCAGTGAACATGCACATGCATGTGTCTTTATGGTAGAATGAGGCAATTTTGCATACATGGGGTTGTACTACACTTGCTGGCTTGCACACTTGGTTTTTATTCAAGAATATATTGTTGTTGTCTCTTCATGTCAAAGTTTATTCACATTAGGTCAAGGTTGCTCAGCATTTGTTAATACAAGAACCCTTAAACTTATTTAACCAGTTCTGTTTGGTTGGTTTTGCCCTATTGTTGAACTTTCTATTTTTCCAATTTTTCTGCTATTATAAACAACACTGCAGTGAACATCCTTCCACACAGATCTCTGCTTGCATGTCCCAATAAGTTTTTTGGTATAATCAAGTACTTTTTAAAAAAAGTTTAAAAATTTTTAGTGAAAAACTTCATTGTGTGCTTAATCGGTTTTTTTTTTTGTTTTTTTTTTGGACAGAGTCTTGTTCTGTCACCCAGGCTGGAGTGCAGTGGCATGATCTCAGCTCCCTGCAACCTCTACCTCCCAGGTTCAAGTGATTCTCCTGCCTCAGCCTCCCGAGTAGCTGGGATTACAGGCATGCATCACCATGCCCAGCTAATATTTGTATTTTCAGTTGAGATGAAGTTTCATCATGTTAGCCAGGCTGGTCTCCAACTCCTGACCTCAAGTGATCCTCCCGCCTTGGCCTACCACAGTGCTGGGATTACAGGCCTGAGCCAATGTGCCTGGCCTTCATTTTAAATGACTATTTATTGTGTTTTGATCCTTACTGTTTGCCCACAGTGCTTTACTTTACATGTTCTCATTTAATTTTTATAACGTCACCACGGTGTGGTTACTGACATTATACATATTTTAAAGATGAGGAGACAAAGGCTTAGAAAGGTTAATGACTTATTCAAAGTCATGCAGCCAGCTTTATCTAATTCCAGAAGTCTGGGGCTCTTAAACGATTGGCTTTGCTTAAAGTAAGAGGCGCCTGCAATTTCCTTCTATGATCAAACCACACAAAAGCCAGGCTGATTAGACTTTTGAGGTCCCCCAAAGGTCATGACCAGAATTGAGGTGGGCGTAGTGAGGCCCTGCAGATTCTGCTGGAGCTCTGCTGCCCCCTGGTGACAATGCTCTTTCATTGCTTAGATGGTTAGTCCCTTGGCAGCGGCCAGTTGTAGTTAAACTCACACTCTTTAGGTAACAATAAGACTAGCAATGGAATGGTCATTATCTAAATATTTACTGAGACTCTTCACCGAGCGTTACATACACTATCAATCCAAGCCTTGCAACGCAAGAGTTATCCCCATGTCAGAGAGAAGAAACCAGGGCTCAGAGAAGTTAACCCCTCCAAGGTCAAGCGGCTTACTAGTTGCAAAGCTAGAGTTCCATTCCAATTCTCGCTGGTCCTTAAGTGTACACCCTTTCTACTGCCCCATACGTCTTCCTGATCTGGCACAAAGCAACATCCCGGAAATCCTTCAGTAAACTTAATCTGAGCCAAAGACAGTTTGGTACAGAGATCTCAAGTATGGATTCCAGGGTCTGATAGTCCTAATCTTAATCCTGCCTCTGCCACTTTCTTGCTGTATGACCTTGAGGAAGTCACTTGACCTCTCAGAGGGCCATGTGAAAACAGGGATGCGATAAGTAATGCAAGAAAAGGGCTCAGCCCAGGCGCTGGCATTGAAGAGGCAGCCAGTGAACTAAAGCTTCATATCAAGGGAATAACATGAGGCCAGGACTGAGAAATAGCACGAGAATGAGGCCAGTGCACTTAGAAGAGAGGCGGAGAGAGTTTGGGAGAGTCGAGTTGAAACCAGGCTCTGTTACTGACACAATGTGAAGAGGTCCCTTTGCTCTCTGGGACTCTGTTTCCCGTCTGTCAAAGGCATTCTTTCTAAAGCTACTTATTGACATGCAGCCACTGCTCTTGGACTAAGGCAGATGCTGAGCCTCACAATTTTCTCTTTTCTAAAATGAGAACGAAAATATACAACTATTCACAGCATTTTTTTTTTTTGAGACAGAGTCTCATTCTCTCGCCCAGGCTGGAGTGCAGTGGCATGATCTTGGTTCACTGCTACCTCTGCCTCCCAGGTTCAAGCAACCCTCCCACCTCAGCCTTCCAAGTAGCTAGGAATACAGGCACATACCACCACGCGCAGTTTCACCAGGATGGCCAGGCTGGTCTCGAACTCCTGGCCTCAAGTGATCCACCCACCTTGACCTCCTAAAGTGCTGGGGTTACAGGCATAAGCCACTGTGCCCAGCCATATTCACAGTATTCTTATGAGGCATCAAATATGATGGTGCCTGAAAGTGGCTGTTTTGTTAATAAAAGGGGTACATGAGCTCTGGTCTCAGCAGTCAAGGAGAGGAGCTTGGATGTCTTGAGGGAATGAAAAGAGGTAAACTGATGACTAACATTTGTTGAAGGTTTAATATTTAATATTTGCCAAGCACTTTTCTGAGCATTCACAAATATTAACTCATTTAATGGTCACATCAGCTTTATGAGAGAAGCAATTTTACTGGTTGGCTGTTATGGGTGATGGTGGGCCATGTGACCCAGAGTTGGCCAATCACAGATTCCCATGTCCTGGCCTCAGTGATTAGCTCAGGGAGAACCATAAAACCCCAACCTAACCAATAGGATCATTTCTAGGCATTATGTCCCTCAATGCTGGAGGCAAAAGGCTTTTCTTTTTAGCTTTGGGGTGCTGAGGTGATTGATGTCACTCACCTGAAGCTGCCTGGAGCTATGCTGTAGCCAGGAAAACCCAGCTAAATAGCTTTAGAATGAGACCAATGCATTGAGAGGCAAGGCAGAAGAGAGTTAAAGAGGGCTGAGTTGAGACCAGCCAATATTGTTAGAATCTATGTAACCACGTTTTCCTTTCCACATACGTAAATCAGTGAATCTCATTTTTCTCTTAAAGCTAGTTTGAGTTGGGATTCTGTCACATACAACTATTGACTCTCACCAATGCACATATATTAGTCCACTTTCGCACTGCTATAAAGAAATACCCAAGACTGGGTAATTTATGAAGGAAAGAGGTTTAATAGACTCACAGTTCCACCTGGCTGGGGAGGCCTCAGGAATCTTACAATCGTGGTGGAAGGCGAAGGGGAAGCAAGCACCTTCTTCACAAGGTGGCAGGAGAGAGTGAGTGTGAGAAGGAGGAAGTGCCAGACTTTAAAACCATCAGCTCTCGTGAGAACTCACTATCACGAGAACAGCATCGGGGAAACCACCCCCATGATCCAATCGCTTCCCTCCCTCCACACCTGAGGATTACACGTCCCTCCGTAATCCCCACCTCACTGTGGGGATTACAATTGGAGATGAGATTTGGGTGGGGACACAGAGCCAAACCATATCAGCACATACACAAATAATGCTAATAGTTATGGCCACCAACATAGTAATATTAATAATAACGTCCTTCTAGATGATTGGCATTTGACATGGTCTTCAAGACTCAAACATTATCCCCCCTGTGAACCCTTACTGGAGGGACTTCTTCTGGGTGAAGGTAGTCACTTTATAATGAACAGATTTTACACCATTTTCGTCATTGTTGTGTTTTTTATTCTATTGAATTGTAAAGTCAGATGCACCTTGCTTTTACGTCTTCTTGACTTTGCTCATTCTGTTTCTTCCAACTGATTTGTTCTCTTCTTCCCTATCTGTAAGAAATCAGTTTTGCAGTTATAAAGAGGACCAGCTTCTGAATCAAACAGAACTTGGTTCAAATTCTGCCTCTTCTACTTCCTAGCTCTTTGACCTGGGTCAAATCACTTCCCTCTCTGAGCCTCAGTTTTCTCATCCATAAAAATGGGTATTCTAATGGTACATGATACACGGGATTGATGGGATTTGGTTAAATTCTGGAAGTTATCTATAATTGCCAGTGAATTATTTAATATTATTTTATTATGGAAAGCTGTTTCTTGGTGGTGTTTGCGGTTGTGGTCAAAGTTCAATGGAGAGGGGGGTGGATTGGAGGAAATGCCTCTGTTTGAATTTTCCCATCACAAATTTCAATCTAAGTTAATCAGCATGTATATCAGGGGCTTAGCGTAAGCTACCATTTATCCCCAGAGATGAAGGAATTCCCATAAAACCTTAGGCTTCCAAACAAACATCTTCCCACACTCAGCACATCCCATTCCCACAATCTTGGGTCTCTCCAAGGAATACAGCAGCAGCAGGCAGGACATGAATGAGTCCCAATGTGGAGAGACACTTTGCGAGATGCCCATGAAGGACTCTTATTTAAGAAAATAATTCTCGATAAAGTGAAATGTCTCTGTCTGAGTAATCCATTTTAGGGACTGACTTTTGGGTGTCATGGTCCTGATAGCAGATACATAACTTTGATTCTTCCCAGCTTTACCTGGGGTGAGTGTTACTTATCAAAAGCATGTGGGTTCTGCAGCCAGAGAGACATGGGTAGGAATTCTGGTTTCTCCACTTACTTGCAATGTGATCTTGGTCCTTCAAGTCCTAATTCTGCATCTATAAAGCAGGGATATCTTCCAAAGCAGCTGTTTTAAAGATTAAATTAGATGATGTCTCTGCCCAGTGACTTGACACATAGTGTTCCAGGTATCCTTATCTTTGTGGCAAGCTGCCTTAAAACTTAGTGGCTTCAAATAGCAACAATAGCATTTTGCTCATAGATGTACAACCTGGGCAGGGCTTGGTGAAGACTGTTTCTCTCTGCTCCACTCAGCAACAGCTGGGATGGCTCAAAGGTTGTAGGCAGAGATCATCAGAGCGCTCACTCATTCATGTGTCTGCTGGTTGATGTGGGCTGCTGGTTGGTAACTCAATTGAGGCCATTGGCCAGAACATCTACCATGTGGCCTCCCCATGTAGCTTGGGCTGCCTTACAACATGGTAGCTGGATTTCAAGGGTGAATGTCCCAAGCGAGAAAAGGCTCAGATGGAAGCTCTATCATTGTTTATGACCTAGACTCAGAAGTCACACAGCCTTCCTTCTGCAATATTCCATTCACTGAGCCAGTCACAAAGGCCTGCTTAGGTTCAAAAGGAGGAGAAGTAGCTCTGTCTCTCGATGGAAGGGTGCCAAGTTTCTGGAAGAGATTATGGCATCAGAAATATTGCTTTAATCACTTTTGGAAAATACAAATTGCCTTTTTTTTTTTTTGAGACAGAATCTCACTCTGTTGCCCAGGCTAGAGTGCAGTGGCATGATCTCGGCTTACTGCAACCTCCACCTCCCAGGTTCAAGCGATTCTCCTTCCTCGGCCTCCCGAGTAGCTGGGACTACAGGCACATGCCACCACACTCAGTTAATATTTTGTATTTTAGTAGAGATGGGGTTTTACCACGTTGCCCAGGCTGGTCTCAAACTCCTGAGCTCAGGCAATCTGCTCACCAGGGCCTCCCAAAGTGCTAGGATCACAGTGTGAGCCACTGTGCCCAGCTTAAATTTCCTCTTTTAATGGGTGCCAAAGAAAGAGCAATTCTTAAGATCCCTCGCTCTCTGAGCATTACAAATGTATTTTCTTTTTTGTTTGCTTTTTGTTGTTTTTGTTTGTTTGTTGAGACAGGGTCTTGCTCTGTTGCCCAGGCTGGAGTGCAGTGGCACGATCATGGCTCACTGCATCCTTGGCCTCCCAGACTCAAGAGATCCTCCCACTTCAGCCTTGTGAATAGCTGGGACCACAGGCACGCCGCCATGCCTGGCTAATTTTTAAATTATCTGTAGCGACAAGGTCTCACTCTGTTGTCCAGGCTGGTCTCGAACTCCTCTGCTCGGACCATCTGCCCACGGTGGGCAAACTGCTGAGATTACAGGTACTGACCTACACATATATTTTCTAAGACATATATATTCTCTTACCTATAAGACAGGAATAAACAATACCTGCTTTGTGGAGAAGTTGGAAAAATAACAAATAGCATATGAAAAGTCCTGATAGGTAGTAGGTGCTCAATAAAGAGTGATTAAACTAGCAACTCATGGCCAGATATGGTGGCTGACACTTGTAATCCCAGCACTTTGGGAGGCAGAGGTGGGAGGATCACTTGAACCCAAGAGTTCAAGACCAGCCTGGGCAACATAGTGAGACCTTGTCTCTACAAAAAACACAAAAATTAGCCCGGCGTGGTGGCGCACAGCTATAGTCCTAACTACTCGGAAGGCTGGGGTAGGAGGATCGCTTGAGCCCAGGAGGTCTAGGATGCAGTGAGCTATGATCATGCCACTGCACTCCAGCCCAGACAACAGAGTGAGACACTGTCTCAATAAATAAACAAACAAACAAACAAACAAATAAAATAGTAACTCACATTTGAACACATAGATACAGGCAGGGGAACATCACACACCTGGGCCTGTCGGAGGTCGGGGGCAAGGGGAGGGAGAGCATTAGGACAAATACCTAATGCCTGCAGGGCTTAAAACCTAGATGATGGGTTGATAGGTGCAGCAAACCACCATGGCATATGTATACCTATGTAACAAGCCTGCATGTTCTGCACATGTATCTCAGAACTTAAAGTAAAATTTAAAAAAATAGTAACTCATATTTATTGAGCCATTGCCAGGTACCAGGCACTACTTTCTGAACACTTCATTGTATTTTTTTTTATTTAATCCTCAGAAGAACCCTATTATATAGGTCGTATTATTGTTACTATTTTACAGATAAGGAGGCTGTGGCTCAGAGAAGTTAAGCAACAAGCTTAAGGGTCACAGAGCTAGTTATTAGGACTCCCAGGATTCAAACCGAGGCAGTGCCTCCAGAGCATGAATGCTTTCAAACACAACACCATACTTCCTCTTAATGATGTTGTTTTGTTCTCAGTATAAGGGTTTACAGTGTGACCCAGTGGAAATTACTAAACCCATAGACCCAAGAGACAGGAGGTAAGCTAGAAAAGTCAATTAAAGGCTGAGACTTGATGGGCATCTGGTGCCAGTGAGGTGAAGGCTGAGGTTGGTTTGTGCCTTACACAGCCATGATCAATAGATCATGGATGCCTACAAATGACACCCTGAGCAGGTAGACGTGAGGATTCCTGGTCACCTCTTGGCTGAATCCAGCTAGCTACTGAGGCAGTCTTTTCCCAGTATCTGCTCAGCTACCACTTTGCCCTGCCAAGAAGTTGAGCTTTTATTACATATATAATTTTGCCTTGGTTTTATGGCGAAAGTAATATGGATTCATTGTAAAAATGAAAAGGCAAAAGTATATACAGAAAAAAGGAAACATTTTAGCTGGGCATGGTGGCACATGGCTATAGTCCCAGCTACTCAGGAGGCTGAGTGGGGAGGATCCCTTGAGCCCAGGAGGCTGAGGCTGCAGTGAGCCAAGGTGGCACCACTGCACTCCAGTCTGGGTGACGGAGTGAGACCCTGTCTCAAAAAAAAGAAAAAGAAAAAGAAAGTAAAAATTTTCTCTAATCCCTTATCCTCCAATGTCACTCCCCAGAGGAAATCACCATCTGTAGTTTAGTGAGTAGCCTTCCTCATTGTTTTATTTAATTTATTTATTTATTTATGTTTTAGACAGGGTCTCACTCTGGCTGGTTGCCCAGGCTGGAGTGCAGTGGTACAATCATGGCTCATTGCAGCCTCGACCTCCTGGGCTCAGGTGTTTCTCCCACCTCAGCCTCCCGAGCAGCTGAAATTACAGGTGCACGCCACCATGCCTGGCTAATGTTTTAGCAGAAATGGGGTTTTGCTGTGTTACCCAGGTTGGTATCACACTCCTGGACTCAAGCATTCTGCCCACCTTGGCCTCCTCGAGTGCTGGGATTACAGGCATGAGCCACTGCACCTGGCCCTTCGTTTTTTTTTAAATATAGAAAACATTAAATAAGGCAAAACCTATTTTGTTGCAACTTGCTTTTTTTTCTTCTTCCATATAACAATATATCAGGGACCTCTTACCATAACAGTACATCTAAACTGCTGCTGAGTGCTCCATAATACAGCTGTGCTTCTGTTTATTTCACTAATCCCCAGTTCATGGACACTGAGGTTGTTTTCATTTTTTTTGTTGGTTATAACCAATGCTGCAACAATTACATTGTTGTATGCCTGGGTGAGTATTTCTGAAGGATAGATTGTTTTTCAATTTTGTTGTAAATTTTAGATTCAGGGGGTACATGTACAGATTTGTTACATGAGTATGTTGTGTGATGCTGAGTTAGAGATTCAATTGGACCCGTCACCCAAACAGTGAGCATAGTACTTGATAGGTAGTTTTTCAGTTTTGCCTCCTCCCCTCCCTCCCCACTTCTAGAGTGTCTGTTGTCCCCATCTTTATGTCCATGTGTACCCAATGATTAGTTCCCACTTGTAAGAGAGAACATGGGGTATTTTGGGGTTTTGTTTCTGTGTTAATTTGCTTAGGATCATGGCCTCCAGCTGCATCCATGTTGCTGCAAAGGACATGATTTCATTCTCTTTTTTATGGCTGCATAGTATTCCATGGTGTATATGTACCACATTTTCTGTATCCAGTCCTAGGTTGATTCCATTTCTTTTATATTGTGAATGTGCTGTGATGAACATGTGAGTGCAGGTGTCTTTTTGGTAGGGAAGGATGGATTATTAGAAATAAAAGCCAGGTGTGGTGGCTCATACCTGTAATCCCAGCACTTTGGGAGTCCAAGGCAGGCAGATCACAAGGTCAGGAGATTGAGATCATCCTGTCTACGATGAAACCCCGTCTCTACTAAAAATACAAAAAATTAGTCGGGTGTGGCAGCGGGTACCTGTAGTCCCAGCTACTCGGGAGGCTGAGGCAGGAGAATGGCGTGAACCTGGGAGGCGGAGCTTGCAGTGAGCCGAGATTGCGCCACTGCACTCCAGCCTGGGTGATGGAGCGAGACTCTGTCTCAAAAAAAAAAAAGAAAGAAAGAAAAAAGAAATAAAAGACATAGGCCAGGCATGGTAGCTCACACCTGTAATCTCAGCAATTTGGGAGGCTGAGACAGAAAGATTGCTTGAGCTTGGGAGGTCAAGGCTGCAGTGAGCTGTGATTGTGCCACTGCACTCCAGCCTGGGTGACAATGAGACCCAGTCTAAAAAAAAGAAAAAGAAAAGACAAAAAAAAAAAAAAAAAAACAAGAACAGCAAAAAAATAAAAATCAGCAAAAACCAACAAAAAAGCACTGGTAGGGGACCAGTGCTACCTGGGGTCACCTCCCAAATAAACCACTTGCCTTCACATCGTTGTCCCAGGGTCTGATACTGGGAAAACCCAGCCCAGGGGAACGCTCTTCCTGTACAGTTGCTTCCCACGAATACACAGATGACATGGATGCACCTCCTAATCCCAACCCCTGTGCTGCTTCTTGGTTTCTCTCCAACGTCAGTGCTGGAAGTGACCTATCAAACAGCAAGGATGGGTGTTGAGGCCTCCAGGATGTAGTCACAGAGGGAGAATACAAGACTATATTGGCAGGCCTAGATTCCCGTTCTTGCTCTTTTACCATGAGCTGGTGGATCTGAGGCATGCCACTCATTTCTTCTGAGCCTCAGTTCTCCCCCTTACATAATGCCTGGTCTTATTGGTGGTTAAGATGAGATCATCTAAAGCTGCACTTTTGTTTAAAATTAAACATAAGGGCTGGGTGTGGTGGCTTACATCTGTAATCCCAGCACTTTGGGCGGCCAAGGATGGAGGATCATTTGAGCCCAGGAGTTCAAGACTAGCTTGGGCAACATAGTAAGATCTTGTCTCTACAAATAAAGAAACGTAAAAAGTTAGCCAAGCTAATTTTTTGCAGTGATCTCAGCTTTTTGCAACTTCAGCCTTCCGGTTTCAAGTGATTCTCCAGCCTCAGCCTCCCAAGTAGCTAGGATTACAGCCACCCACCACCATGCCCGGCTAATTTTTGTATTTTTAGTAGAGATGGAGTTTCACCATGTTGGCTAGGCTGGTTTGAACTCCTGACCTCAGGTGATCCACTCACCCTCAGCCTCCCAAAGTGCGGGGATTACAGGCATGAGCCACTGTGCTCGGCCTGGAATGTCTTCTTTGAAGGCCTTCCCTGAATTCTTACTTTGGATTTTATTTCGTTCAGCTTAGTCGATTGTCTTTTTTTTCCCCTTCTTTTGCGATTGGCTTTCCCTGTCACTAGACTGGAGGTCAGTGGTGGCACGATCACGACTCATGGCAGCCTCGATGTCCTGGGCTCAAGTAATCCTCCCACATCAGCTCATGGGGTCGCTGTAACCACAAATGCACACCACCAGGCCATGCCTGTGTGGCTAATTGTGTGTGTGTGTGTGTGTGTGTGTGTGTAGGGACAGGGACTTGCTATGTTGCCCAGGCTAGTCTTGAACTCCTGGGCCCAAGTGGTCCTCCCACCTTGACCTCCCAAAGTGCTGGGATTACAGATGTGAGCCACCATGCTCCTTCAAAAAACATGTTTTGTTTTTGCATTAATATGAAAATGTAATAAGAAGATATTAATATGAAAAAATTCAAACAAATACAAAACGAGAGTGAATGGCTTCATGGACCCCATGTACCCACTACTCATAAATTAATTACTGATTTTGAAGTTACTTGTAACTAATGGCTAATCTCAGGGTTATCTATAACTCTACCAAAGGTAACTGCTATCCAGACCTTTTTTTATTTTTTTTTTTGAGATGGAGTCCAGCTCTGTCGCCCAGGCTGCAGTGCAGTGGTGTGATCTCAGCTCACTGAAAGCTCTGCCTTCCGGGTTCAGGCCATTCTCCTGCCTCAGCCTCCTGAGTAGCTGGAACTACAGGCACCCGCCACCACGCCTGTCTAATTTTTTTGTATATTTAATAGATACAGGGTTTCCCCATGTTAGCCAGGATGGTCTCGATCTCCTGACCTTGTGATCCGCCCGCCTCGGCCTCCCAAAGTGCTGGGATTACAGGCATGAGCCACCGCGCCCGGCCTATCCACATGATTTTGAAGCAAATCTCGCAAATATTAAACACAATTCCTACTATTCATAGCGGAGACATTTCCTCTAGCAGCTGGCAGAGAAGGAGAGGAGCAGGAGCTATTCTCAATCACCACTCGAGATACCCAAAAGCGTGTGAGAAGAATGGAGTTATCTGTGGGCACAGGGAGTTGTGCCCAGATTTGAAGAGTTTCCAAGTCAACAGATAGATCTCATGTGACCTGTGACCTCAAATTGAGCAGGAACTGGCCACCGAGGCATTGGGTGTCCCTGTCACCTCTGCTCTCACCTAAGGCTTTGATGCTACAGACTGAGATAGCTGCTCAGCCATAAATCGCACGCATTGAGAACTTCAGTTTCAACAGCTTTGTGATTCTCCCTGCCCTCTCCACCCTGTGATGTTGAAATTTGTTGCTTTGCTCCATGTTCTAGCCGTGGGTGTAATTATTGTAGTGGGACCAGCAATTAACCTTCCACAGAGTGACCAGTGACTCTCTGGCTGAGTGTCCTGTGGCAGAGGGAGACAGCTTGTCGGGTTCCAGCGGAAGTGCTGGGATGTCTGCTCTCAGGGAGGAGGCGGTGGGCAGAGGACACTGGGGCCAAGGAAGGGTCAATTTTTCCCACTGGTCTCTCCAGAATGAGAGCAGGGAGGGTATCTCTGAAATTCACGAGGGAGAGTAATATCTTCATTTGCATTTTGGAGATGCTGAGCCAGGCTGGAAAGTGTCCCCCTTCTGATTGTCTCTTAGAAAGTCCTTTATTTACAAACAGTTCCTGTCACATAGTAAACACATACATATTTCTTTATTTTTATTTTTTGAGACAGGGTCTTGTGCTCTGTCACCCAGGCTAGAGTGCAGTGGTGTGATCATAGCTCACTGCAGCCCCGACCTCTTAGACTAAAGCAATCCTCCACCTCAGCTTCCCAAGTAACTGGGATGACAGGCATGCACCAAAATTTAAAAAAAATTTTTTTTAAAAAGAGATGAGGTCTTCCTATATTGCCAGGGCTGGTCTGGAATTCCTGGGCTCAAGAAATCCTCCCACCTCAACCTCCTAAAGTGTTGGGATTACAGGCGTGAGCCATCACGCCCCGTCCTGCCAGTAAATTCTCTCCCTAAGAAGGGAAATAATTCTGACTTCTATTCTGACTTCTCTTCTGACTTCTATTGCCATAGATAATTTTGCCTATTTTTGAACTTCATACAAATAGGACCACACATTATGTTCTCTTTTATGTCTGGTTTCTTTCAGTCATGTCTGTGAATTAATCTAACTTATTGCACGTGGCTCCAGTTTGTTCTTTTTCATGACTGTATAGTATTCCATTTCATGAGCATACCGCATTTATCCTTTCTGTTCTCAATGGACATTTGTTTTGTTTTGTTTCCCAGCTTCGAGTTGTAGCAAATAAATCTGCTTAAAATATTCTTATGCATGTCTTTTGGTGCACATAAGCACTCATTCTAGGGGGAGTATGCCTTTAAGAGTGAAATTTCTGGGTCATGGGAACATACATGTGTTCAGTATTATCAGATACTGCCAAGCAGTTTTCCAAAGTGATACTGCCAATTCACATTCCCAAAAGCATTGTGTCCTATTGCTCTACAGCCTTACCAGTTGTTAGTACTGACAGTCTTTTTTAAATTTTATACATTCTGGTGGAGGATCATGAGACATAAAAGCTAGAACTAGTGTGTGATACAGTGTGACAAGAAAAATTATGAACGCATTGTATTCACAACATCCAAGGACACTTTTGGGTCAAGCTTTCTTCCTATCCCCACTTTTGGGCTTCAGATTTTGGCAATCACTGGAAGGGACTTAAAGCTGGAGGTAGGGAGAAAATAGAAAGATTTGCACTATCTTAAAGGCTGAAGATAGGAAAAAGGCAACATATTTGAAATCAGCCTCACAGTAGCTCCTACCTGTTGGCTAACTCTTTCCTCTGATGTGTATGTCATAAAGGCCAAGCTTATCCATTGGACAGAAATTCCTGTTGTAACTTATGTAAAGTCCAGCTGCCTGTGGTCCAGTCCCCTTCGGAGTTGCATTCACAGCAATAGCAATCTGGTAGGGATGTCTGCTTCTGTAGGATCATTCTGAATTAAGGTATCTACTGTGATGAGAAGCATATCTGCATGTGTGCTAGAGACAAGAGTGACCTTGGCCTTGATCCAGGCGATGTCCCCCAAATGCTAGCCAGCATAAATTTCCACAAGCATGATCATAATATGTTATAAGTTCCGCTTCTAGTAGGTAGGTATTCCGGAAATATTCTAATGGCTGCATATGAATCCATCCTTAAATCTCCCCAAACTCTTGTTCACTCATATTTCACTGGATAGAAACCATGAACACTTAGCTTAGCCTAAGCTATATCAGATATGCCCAACTCTTTTAAAAATAAATATATTTTTAAAATTTGAGTAGTATTATTTTGAGAAAAAAAATTTGCAACAAACCAGAGAATTTGGGTGTGAAGTGATCAGAATTTCCAACCATTCTCACAGAATGGTGGGGATATATCACTGAAGAAGAAACACATGAACAAGAAAAATAAATGTAATTTCTGATCTGACTCATATGTACATATATATGTGAATGTATATACATGAGTTCATATATATATACACATTTACATATATATACATACATATATACTGTATTTAGTTTCTGACCTTATACTTTATATATATGCATGTATATAGTGTTTGTCTATATGCAATTGTGTATGTAAATTCATACATACAAATGTATGCATATATGTATGCATCTACTGTGCATAGGTATATATATGAGTGCATGTATACATATGTATATATGTGTATGTATGTATACATATATCTGCAATTACATGATTAGCTTTATTAATGTGACACATGGTTCTTATATATTGATTAGAAGAAGAGGTTAACTCTCTCTTTAGAAAGTCTAGAAGATGTTCCAGTGGCCTCTCTAGAACATGTGATGAGATGCTACCACTTTCTTCATGGCCAATGTCATGGTTCAAAGAGGCACTAAAATATACTAGTTGGGAGCACCAGGATCTCACAGACTTGGGGTTAAAAACTCGCTCCCTGCTGATGAGCCATGGTGTGTTGGGACTCTCTGAGCCTCTGTTCCTTTTTCTTTTTGTAAAGCGGGAGTAGCAATACCATCCTCTTGGGATTTTTGTGCCCTTCAAACAGGATGTTATGTGCAGGGCCTGTGTACATGCACATCCAGTGCCTGGTGTACATGAAGCACGTGGTGAGTGTCAGCCGCACTCATCATGATTCCTATGTGGGTTGAGGCTGATTTCCCATTCTGGCTGCCGTGTGGGAAGTGGGTCGGAGTGTGCTTTGGGTGGGGCGTCAAGTCCTCTGGTGGAAGGGAAGGGATAGGGTGTTTGAGATCTGTGAGAACCTGAAAAAGAGCTACCAGGGGCCACTGAATGCTTTATCCTTTTACTGGGACAAGGGAGGTGGGAGATTTTCTGGCACCTGGTACCTGGCAGACAAGAGGGAAACGGTGAGAGAGATTCAGTGAGAAGTATAAAATCTTCCTGTTTATGCTCATGTTTGTCTTCTTCCTGTGTGATGTAACCTCTGGGGGCCATGAGACTCTTTATTATATTAAATATCAGGGGGCATTGAACTGGAGTTGTGCTACATACACTGTGCTGGGAAATGCCATGAAATGGTAGGTTATCGGTAAATAATGATCCCTTCTCTTTTCTTTAGAAGTCAACATTCCCCTACAGGTATTATCATCTCATGTCATCTTGTGACCTCTTGATGACTTCTCATTTTCACAATGGGAATGAGCTCAGAGTGTGGGAAAAAAAAAAAAAACAAACTTCCAGGCTGACAGTGAGGAGCTCTGTGCGGGGCCAGAGTCCAAAGTCTTCATTTGCTCAATGTAAATATCCACACTGTGTCCCTGCCACTCAGTTCAAGCTTCAGGAATCACTCAGACACAGCATAAAGAAACCACTGCGTAAAGGAGTCACCCTATTCATAAGTGACTTAAAATGTGCAGAATGGAAATAACCTAAATAGACTGGGCACAGTGGCTCATGTCTGTAATCCCAGCACTTTGGGAGGCCGTGGCGGGTGGATCACTTGAGCTCAGAAGCTTGAGACCAGCCTGGCCAACATGGTGAAACCATGTCTCTACTAAAAATACAAAAATTAGCTGGGCGAGGTGGCACACACCTGTAGTCCCAGCTACTCGGGAGGCTGAAACAGGAGAATCACTTGAACCCAGGAGGCAGAGGTTGCAGTGAGTCAATATCGTGCCACTTCACTCCAGCCTAGGCAACAGAGCTAGAATCTGATCTGTCTCAAAACAAAACAAAAAGAAATGTCCAGGAGATGGGGATGAGTTGAAACTATTTATTTATTTATTTATTTGAGATGGAGTCTCACTCTGTCGCCCAAGCTGGAGTGCAGTGGCAGGATCTTGGCTCACTGCAACCTCCGCCTCCCAGGTTCCAGTGATTCTCCTGTTTCAGCCTCCTGGGTAGCTGGGATTACAGACACATGCCACCATGCCCAGCTAATTTTTTATTTTTAGTAGACAGGGTTTCCCCACGTTGGCCGGGCTGGTCTCAAACTCTTGACCTCAGGTGATCCCCCCCACCTCAGCCGCCCAAAGTTCTGGGATTACAGGTGCGAGCCACCATGCCTGGCTGAGTTGAAGCCTTATAGCATGTTTGTAAAGAATATTATACTGACAGAAAAACAATTTGTTTACCTGTATGATTGACTTAGGAAGACAGCTGTAATATTTTCAGTAAAAAGGTTGGTTAGAAGATAGCATATTTAATATTCTTATAAATGTTAATAATGTTTTATCTCTGGGTGTTGGATTATGAGAGTCCTTTTTTTCCCCTAACTGCTTATTTGTATTTTCTATTTCTCCTGCAGCAAAGTTGAATTTCCTGTGTAATTAAAATAATAAAAGCAAATATAAAATAGACAGAAAAGTAAAACTAGATTTGTCCCCTTAAAAATATGTCAGGATTAGGCAGGACACAGTGGCTCATGCCCATAATCCCAGCAGTTTGGGAGGCCGAGGTGGGCAGATCACTGGAGGTCAGGAGTTCAAGACCAGCCTGGTTAGCATGGTGAAACCCCATCTCTACTAAAAATACAAAAAATTAGTCGGCGGTGGTGGCAGGCACCTGTAATCCCAGCTACTCGGGAGGCTGAAGCAGAATTGCTTGAACCCTGGAGGTGAAGAAGGTTGCAATGAATTGAGATCGCACAACTGTACTCCAGCCTGGGGCAACAGTGAGTCTCCATCTCAAACAAACAAACAAACAAAAAAGGTGTCAGGATTAAAGAAGGGGCAGTTATCTGCCCAGTGATGTGCTACCTGGTAAGTAATAGAGCTGAACCCAGGTCTCCTTGTTCTCATACTGAATCCAATAAAGGAGGCCACTATCCACTGGAAAAAAAGAAAGTCATGGCACATGAACACCTGCTCAACATCAATAATCATCTGGCAAATGTAAATCAAAACCACAAAGATATACCACTTTACATCAATTAGGATGGCTACTATTAAAAACAAAACAAAACAGAAAACACAAGTGTTGGCTGGGTGCTGCAGCTTATGTCTGCGATCCCAGCACTTTGGGAGGCCGAGTCTGGAGGATTGTTTGAGGCCAGGAGTTCAAGACCAGTCTGGGCAACCCAGGGAGATCCCATCTCTACAAATAACACAAAAAATTAGTTGGGTATGGTAGCAGGTGCCTGTAGTCCCAGCCACTCAGGAGGCTGAGGCAGGAGGATTGCCTGAGCCTGAGAGGTTGAGGCTGCTGCGTGAGCTATGATTGCAGCACTTCACTCCAGCCTGGGTGACAAAGTGAGAATCTGTCTCAAAAGAAAATATAAATGTTGGCAAAAATGTGGAGAAATTGGAACCCTTGTGCACTCTGGTGAGAATGTAAAATGGTGCAGCTGCTAAAACAGTAGGGCAGTTCCTCAAAAAGCTAGACATAGACTGTATTAGTCAGGGTTCTCTAGAGGGACAGAACTAATAGGATAGATGTATATATAGAGGGGAGTTTATTAAGGAGTATTAACTCACACGATCACAGGGTCACAATAGACCTTCCACAAGCTGAGGAGCAAGGAAGCCAGTCCGAATCCCAAAGCTGAAGAACTTGGAGTCCGATGTTCAAGGGCAGGAAGCATCCAGCATGGGAGAAAGATGTAGGCTCGGAGGCTGAGCTAGTCTAATCTCTCCATGTTCTTCTGGCTGCTTTTATTCTGGCCGCACTGGCAGCTGATTAGATGGTGCCCACCTAGACTGAGGTTGGGTCTACCTCTCCCAGTCCACTGACTCAAACATTAATCTCCTTTGGCAAAACCCTCACAGACACACCCAGGATCAACACTTTGCACCGTTTAATCCAATTAAGTTGACACTCAGTATTAACCATCCATAGACTGACCGTATGATCCAGCAATTCCACTGCTGGGTGTCTACCCAAAAAAATTGAAAGCAGGGACTCAAAGATATATTTGCACACCCATGTTTATAGCAGCACGTATCACAGTAGCCAATAGGTGCAAGCAAGCCAAGTGTCCATTAACAGATGAGTGGATAAACAAAATGCAATGTATCCATGTAATGAAATAGTATTTGGCCTTAGAAAACAAGGAAATTCTGACACGTGCTACCACATGGATGAACTTTGAGGACACTACGCTGAGTGAAATAAGCCAGACATAAAGAGACAAATACTGTGTGATTCCACTTATAGGTGGGACCTAGAGTCATCAAACTCGTAGAGATAGAAGGTAGAGTGCTGGTTGCTAGGAGATGGGTTGGAGAGTGGATGAAAGCTTATTGTTTCATGGGTGAAAGTTTGAGTTTTATAAGATGAAAGAAGTTCTGAGGATGGACAGTGATGGTGTTGACACAGCAGTGTGAATGTATTTAATGCTACTAAACTGTATATACACCTAAAATGGTTGAGATGATAAATTTTATATTAAATGTGTCTTACAACAATTTAAAAAAATAAGGTGAGGGGAAATTAAGCAATGGGTCAATGAGGTGTATGTTTTAGATTTTGTGTGAACAAGGCCAAAAAGATTATAATTTTTTAAAAATATCACATCTGGGAGAAGCAGGCAGAGATAGAGGCTGTCAGAAAAATAACATGT
Organism: Homo sapiens; assembly: GCF_000001405.40. Lineage (NCBI taxonomy): Eukaryota > Metazoa > Chordata > Mammalia > Primates > Hominidae > Homo > Homo sapiens. The sequence goes on along the minus strand of NC_000012.12, from coordinate 114,608,391 downwards.
TAAGAATACATGTTTGGCCAGGCTCGGTTGCTCACCCCTGTAATACCAGCATTTTGGGAGGCTGAGATGGGGGATCACTTAAGGTCCGGAGTTCAAGATCAGCCTGGCCAGCATGGTGAAATCCTGTCTCTACTAAAAATACAAAAATTAGCCGGGTGTGGTGGCAGACATCTGTAATCTCAGCTACTCCAGAGGCTGAGGGAGGAGAATTGCTTGAACCCAGGAGGCGGAGGTTGCAGTGAACTGAGATCACACCACTGCACTCTAGCCTGGGTGAGAGACAGGGACACTGTATCAACAACAACAACAAAAAACATTTTTTTTCTCTAATGGAGTCAGACCATTTAAACCATCTGTTGTGCTAATGACAATCTATCATTCTAAGATTAGTTAATCCTTGTACTATATTCTCTATGTAATGAGAACATTTCTCTTTCCTATTTTTATATTTATTTATTTCTTCGAGATATAGTCTCACTTTGTCACCCAGCCTGGAGTGCAGTAGCATGATCGTGGCTCATTGAAACTTCAAAATCCTGGGCTCAAGCGATCCTCTTGTCTCAGTCTCCTGAGTACCTGGGACAATAGGTATGAGCCACCCCACCCCTATTTTACGCTTTAAAAAAAAAAAAAAAAACCTTATAACTCTTGTTTTCACCAAAAGTGTTGATAGAAAAGAAGTGACACAATATTATATCAGAAAATTTCAACACAATCTCTTTTTTCTATCTTATGGCTATTAAATTACCTGTTCTTTGTGTTTGTTTGGTTTTATTGCATAAATATTATTAACACTAAGCATTCAGAAAAAGCAACACATTTTCTTTCTGCCAATTTTAATGAAGGATTTTGATGGCTGGAGAAATATCAAACAGGTGAAGAAGCTTATGAACACCATCAGAAAGTACTGAGCTGATCAAACCCAAGACGTTTACAGTGGTTGCTATGGACCCCTTTAGCAGTTGGGAAAGCTCCAACCCCATTTCAGGATAATGTTTTTCATGACGTAAAATGCATAGGAAGGAAACCAGTTCTATTAAAAAAAAAGTACATAGAAATACGTGGCCGGGCGTGGTGGCTCATGCCTGTTATCCCAGCACTTTGGGAAGCCGAGGCAGGTGAACCATTTGAGGTCAGGAGTTTGAGACCAGCCTGGCCAACATGGTGAAACCCCATTTCTACTAAAAATACAAAAAAAAAAAAAAATTAGCCCCGGGCAGTAGTGGCGTGTGCCTGTAACCCCAGCTGCTTGGGAGACTGAGGCAGGATCGCTTGAGGTTCGCTTGAGGCAGAGGTTACAGTTAGCGGAGATCGCGCCGCTGCACTCCAGTCTGGGCGACAGAGTGAGACCCTCTCTTAAAAAAAAAAAAAAAAAAGCCCAAATAGAAATATGTGAAGTAAGAGGAAGAAAGTGAATGTTTATGAGGTTCCACTAGGCACCAGAACCACGTTATGATTTAATCTTCACAATATCCTATTGTAGAAGGAAGCGTTACTATCATTATTATTGTCATCCTCTTTCTGTATATGAGGAAACTAAAAATCAGATAGGTGATGTGACTTATTGAAAGTCACACACTGATAGGGTTTGGCTGTGTGTCCCTGCCCAAATCTCTTCTTGAATTGTAGTTCCTGCAATTCCCACGTGTTGTGGGAGGGATCTGGTGGGAGGTAATTGAATCCTGTGGGCAGTTTCCCCCTTACTGTTCTCGTGGTTGTGAATAAATCTCACGAGATCTGAAGGTTTTATAAGGGGTTTCCCCTTTCACTTGTCTCTTATTCTCTTTTTGCCCGCTGCCATGTAAGATGCCCTTTTGCTCTTCCTTCATCTTCCACCGTGATTGTGAGGCCTCCGCAGCCATGTGGAACTGTTAGTCCATTAAACCTCTTTCCCTTATAAATTACCCAGTCTCAGGTGTGTCTTTATTAGCAGCTTGAGAACAGACTAATACACACACCTAGTAGGTGATGGATGGGATTCAAGTCTGGGGCTACCTGACTCTAAAGGCCAGGAAAAAGAGAGAGAAATTAAAGAAGAATTGGTGAAAATAGTGGCAGATTAATAATGATGATAATGATGGTGGTGGTGGTGAGGATGATGATAATGATGGCAGCTAAAGCTTATATAGGCACTGTGTTAAGAGCTTTCCATGTTAACTCCTTTAATTCTCTCAACAACACTGAGGCAGATAATCTTATCTCCATTTTACAGATAAAGAAATTGAAGCACAGAGAGGTTAAGTAACTTTCCTAAGACCACACAGCTCATCAGTGACAATTCAAAGTCAAGCATGACTATGCTCTACTGCCTCTTGGACTAACATTAACAGTGGGCCAGACACTGTGGCTCACGCCTGTAATCCCAGCACTTTGGGAGACCAAGGCAAGTGGATCACATGAGGTCAGGAGTTCGAGACCAGCATGGCCAATATGGTGAAACCCCGTCTTTACTAAAAATACAAAAATTATCCAGGCATTGTGGCACACGTCTGTAATCCCAGCTACTCTGGAGGCTGGGGCAGAAGAATCGCTTGAACCCGGGAGACAGAGGTTGCAGTGAACCAAGATCATGCCACTGCACTCTAGCCTGGGCCACAGAGCAAGACTCTGTCTCAAAAAAAAAAAAAAAATTAACAATGACCTAAAATTAACTTATTATTTACTTGTTTACTTAAGTATTGTCTGCCTTCTCCACTAGAATAAAATTCCACTCTAGAAAGTTCTTTGTCTTCTTGAGGGCTATATTCCAGGAGCCCATTGCATTGCCATGCCTCACACCTGTAATCCCAGTACTTTGGGAGGCCGAGGTAGGTGGATCACTTGAGATCAGGAGTTCAGGACCAGCCTGGTCAACATGGCGAAACTCTGTCTCTATTAAAAATACAAAAATTATCTGCGTGTGGTAGCGTGCATCCATAGTCCCAACTACTTGGGAGGCTGGGGCAAAAGAATTGCTTGAACCTGGGAGACAGAGGTGTCAGTGAGCCCAGATCATGTCATTGCACTCCAGCCTGGGTGACAGAGCAAGACTCTATCTCAACAAAAGCAAAAAAAAAAACCAAAAAGCTTTATTCAAATATAATATTACTAGACCAATGGCAATATTTTCCCAAAAAGGCAGATGAGGTAATTCAAATTTACAAGTCAGAGACTTAGAATTGTATACACCCGTTTCCTGTAACGTGTGAATTTTTCAATTAAATTAAGGTAAAATGAAAATGTTGTTTCTTTTGTTTTCTTGTTCCAGCTGTTACAATGTGAATATTTTGAAGGAATCAATAAAGGAATAAGAGCTGAGAAAAGGATTAGAGAGACAACACGGCCCAGGGAGCAGCACAGGATGCACCAAGGAACTTTTGCCGGCAGAGCTGTGAGTTAAAATATGCCGCACCTCTTTCCCGAAATATCACATTAGAGCTGGAAGGGACTTTGTGGGAGCATTTAGTCTACCAATCTATTTAAAAGTGGGGAAAGGGAGGCCAGGATCACATCATGGATGAATGACAAGTCCAGGCTCGATTTTCTGCCTTAGAAGCCAAGGCCTGTATTCTCAGCCACATGGCTAAATTCCCTGGCTTCAAGGGCCAGCTTCATTACATCCACAAAGCTTGTTTAAGTTTATCCTTCAGCGGGGACCATCTGAGGCTGCAACGTGGAGCTCTTTCCAAAAACAACTGTCCTTGTGCAGAGGTCTGCATGGTGAGACCTGGAGGTGTGTGGTGGCTGTGGGGGCTGCAGGGAAGGGGTAAACCTCATTTTCATAGCTGGGCAGAGAGAAGGAAGGCAGACCAGTCCCATAAGTACTATAGGCCATGGCTCTCATTTCCTTTCAAATAATTCTCTCAAGCTGTATAAACTTTCTGCCTGAAAAATAAATGACTGCCCCCTTAAAATAAACATTTACGCCATCCACTTGCCTGCATTCACTGCCCAAGAATGAGGCTCACCTATTACTGTGCCCAGAAGCTTCCGCCAAAAGCCTGCAAACTTATATTTTTCTCCATGACCCTCAGTAACCACTATTCGACAATCACCATCTCCCAGAAACCCATCAAAGCAAAAAGAAAGAAAGAAACAAGAAAGAAAGAAAGAGAAAGAAAGAAGGAGAGAAAGAAAAGAAAGAAAGAAAGAAAAAGAAAGAAAGAAAGAAAGAAAGAAAGAAAGAAAGAAAGAAAGAAAGAAAGAAAGAGAAAGAAAGGGAAAGAAAGAAAGGAAAAGAAAAGGGCATGCAGGTGAAGTACATAATAATAGATTTGTGTGAAAGCAGGGATTTAGTCTCATAAATTCTGGAGTCAAGCCACGTTGCATACTTGAAAGGAGAAATCTAAGAGAAAGGTGGATGGGTGTCAACAATTCTAATAGAATAGGCAATTAGACAATCTATTTGGTGATTTATTTGTTCTTCTTCTCGTCTTCTTCTCCTTTCCTTTCCTTTCCTTTCCTTTTCTTTTCTTTTCTTTTTTCTTTTCTTTTTGCTGGAGTGCAGCGGTACAACCATAGCTCACTGCAGCCTTCAACTCCCAGGCTCAGGTAATCCTCATGCCTCAGCTTCTCAAATAGCTGGGACTACAGGTATGCACCGCTACACCCAGCTAATTTAAAATATATATATTTTGTAGAGACTGGGTCTCACTATGTTACCCAGGCTGTTCTCAAACACCTGGCTTCAAGCAATCCTCCCATCTTGGCCTCCCAAAATGCTGGGATTACAGATGTGAGCCACCATGCCTGGCCTTGTTTGGTGATTTCTTGAGAAGGAGTTAATGAGAAATGAATGAAGTAAGAATCACCTGTAGATTTCACCTATTTATTCATTCATCATTAACTGAGTCTCTATTATATGGTAGGTACCAGGCAGGCACAGTTTCATTATTATAGTACAATTGGAAAACAGCAATTATGTTATTTATACCATCAAAGTGACATAGCTCTGTTATAATAACCACCACCAACAACAAAAATGCCTGTTAGAAGAGTTCTTTCTCTTATGCAAAGCATCATTGCATTTTAGCCCCTGAAGTCCTCTTGAGGAAGGTGGTGGTATTATCATTGTTACTGATGCTTATCCCTATTTTGCAGGGGATAAAAATGAAATTCCAAGAAGTGCTTTTATGTTAAGGAATCGGTATAACTTTACTTAGCACCTCTTTTGAATTGTTGGTATTAAATTGTATTAAAACGTTCTGAGAAGAACAGGGTTATGTTACTTACAAAGCTAAAATGGAGGGGGCTTTAACTTATTCATTTATTTGATAATTCATTCACTTATCAACATGTATCTGTGATGTGTGTTTTATACGCTTTTTACACACTAAACAGCAGGCTCATTATTCAGTTGTCTAGGCTTTTATTTCTTTCCTTTTTTTTTTTTTTTTGATGGATTCTCACTCTGTTGCCCAGGCTGGAGTGCAGTGGTGAGATCTGGGCTCACTGCAACTTCCATCTCCTGGTTCAAGTGATTCTCCTGCCTCAGCCTTCTGGGTAGCTGGAATTACAGGCATGCACCACCACACCCAGCTAATTTTTTGTATTTTTAGTAGAGATGGGATTTCACCATGTTGGCCAGGCTGGTCTCAAACTCCTGACCTTAGGTGATCCACCCTCCTTGGCCTCCCAAAATGCTGGTATTACAGGTGTGAGCCACCATGCCCGCCTGTCTGCCTTTCTTCCTTCCTTCCTTTCTTCCCTCTTTCCTTTTCTCCTTCCTTCCTTCCCACTGTTCCTTCCTTCCTTTCTTCCCTCCTTTTTCTTTTTTTCCTTTTCTCCCTCCATCTGTCCTTCCCTTTCTCCCTCCTTTCCTCCTTCCTTTCCTTTCTATCCTAATCTTCTTAACTTCACCTACTTGATTTTCTAAAACTTCCTCAGAAATGCTCAGATGTTCACAACCCCTCCTAGCCCTACCAGTGTTACTCTTAAAGTCTGGATTCCCTGAAAATCAGATCCTAAGACAAAGATTCAAATGTACCAAGTTTATTTGGGAGGGGGATATTAGGAAACACCAGCAGGAAGGTGGGAAAGTGAGACAGGGAGGAAGGTCAATAAATGGTGCATAGTCATACCAACTACCCCTGTGAACAGCTGTGGCTCCATCCTGCTGGGGGATGCTGGAAGGCAGTGACAGCATGAGCCTCAGAGTCATTCCAAGTGGGGAGAGAGAAAGGAGGGGCATTATCCACTAACTTCCTACCATCATTGGTTGAGGGCTGCTTCCAGAAGCATCAGTCCACTCGATTTCCTGTCTTACCCACACATTCAGGCTTGGTTTTTGCACAGGCTGAGTTCTCCAGCATTCCTAATAAAATAGCCCTCATGTAGAGCGTCATAAGCTGCACTAAGCAGCTGTATTAGTCCCACTTTTGCACTGCTATAAAGACACTATCTGAGCCTGGGTAATTTATAAAGGAAAGAGGTTTAATTGATTCTCAGTTCCACATGTATGGGGAGGCCTCAGGAAACGTACAATCATGACAAAAGGTGAAGGGCAAGCAGACACCTTCTTCACAAGGTGGCAGGAGAGAGAAGAGTGAAGGAGGAACTTCCAGACACGTATAGAACCACCAAATTTCATGAGAACTCACTCACCATCACAAAAACAGCATGGGGGAAACTGACCCCATGATCCAATCATCTCTCTCCTTCAACACATGGGGATTTCAGCTCCCTCCCTTAACACATGGGGATTACAATTGGAGATGAGATTTGGGTGGGAGCACAGAGCCAATCAATATCATTCTGCTCCTGGCCCCTCCCAAATCTCATGTCTTTTCACATTTCAAAATCAATCATGCCCTCCCAACAGTCCCCCAAAGTCTTAACTCACTCCAACGTTAACCCAAAAGTTCAAGTCTAAAATCTCATCTGAGACAAGGCAAGTCCCTTCAGCCTAGGAGCCTGTAAGATCAAAAGCAAGTTAGTTACTTCCAAGATACAGTGGAGGTATAAACATTGGATAAATACCCCTGTTCCAAATGTGAGAAATTTGCCAAAACAAAGGGGCTACAGGCCCCATGCAAGTCCAAAATCCAGTGGGGCAGTCATTAAATTTTAAAGCTCCAGAATAATTCCCTTTGACTCCACATCTCACAATCAGGGCACAGTGATGCAAGGAGTGGGATCCCACAGCCTTGGACAGCTCCTTCAGGGGCTGGCATTGAGTGTCTCTGGCTTTTTCAGGTGCATGGTGTAAGCTGTCACTGGATCTACCATTCTGGGGTCTTGAGGACATTGGCCCTCTTCTCACAGCTCCATTAGGCAGTGCCCCAGTGGGGACTCTGTGTGGGGGTTCTGGTCCCACATTTCCCCTTTGCACTGCTCCTGCAGAGGTTCTCCATGTGGGCTCCACCCCTGCAGCACACCTCTGCCTGTATATCCAGTGGTTTCTATACATCCTCAGCAATCTTGGCTGAGGTTTCCAAACCTAAACTCTGGACTTTTGTGAACCTGCAGGCCCAACACCACATGGAAGCTGCCAAGGCTTGGGACTTGCACCCTCTGCAGCAGTGGCCTGAGCTGCACCTTGGCCCCTTTTAGCCACAGCTGGAAGCTGAAGTGTCTGGGACACAGGGCACCAAGTCCTGAGGCTGCACACAGCTGTGGGGCCCTGGACTTGGCCCGTAAAACCATTTTTTCTTCTTAGGCCTCCAGGCCTGTGATGGGAGGGGCTGCTGCCAAGATCTCTGACATGCCCTGGAGACATTTTCCCCATTGTCTTGGCAATTAATATTTGGCTCTTCATTACTTATGCAAATTTCTACAGCTGGCTTGAATATCTCCCCAGAAAATGGATTTTTTTTTTCTATCACATCGTCAGGAGGCAAATTTTCCAAACTTTTATGCTGTGCTTCCCTTTTAAACATAAGTTCCAATTTCAGATAATCTCTTTCAAGTTCAAAATGTTGCAGAATTTTGCTCCTTAGTTCAGCTGAACGTCTGTAATTCAAGCTACTAGGGAGGTGGAGGCAGAAGAATTGCTTGAACTCAGGAGGTGGAGGTTGCAGTGAGCTGAGGTTGCACCACTGCACTCCAGCCTGGGAGACAGGGCAAGACGCCATCTCAAAAAAACAACAACAACAAAAAAAAACAAAAAAAAACACAGTTCTTATCACACAACCAGGAAAATTTAGGCACATAGACACACTGAATGAAGGGTGGGTAGAGCAGGATTTTATTGGGCAGAAAGGAAAAAACTCAGAGTCCTGCTAACAGACCATCCACCTCTCAGATTGAATCCTAGGCCACCACACAGGAACTGAAGACACCAGGCTTCTCCCCTCTTCCCCCAGTGTGTAGCTGGGCAAGTTCAGACAAGGCCCTGGGCAGGTTCCTTCAAAACAAGTGTTTATATCAGATACTTTTGTGCAGATGGGTGTGTCGGAGATTCTCTGGGGACCCCTTTTTATCTGCCTAGACACTTGGCTGTCTCAAAAGTTACATGGATCTCTAAGGCAGGGGCAAAATGCTGCCAGTCTCTTTGCTAAAGAATAGCAAGAATGACCTTTGCTCCAGTTCCCAACAAGTTCCTCATCTCCATCTGAGACCAGCTCAGCCTGGACTTCATTGTCCACATCCTTATTAGCATTTTGGTCAAAACCATTCAACAAGTGTCTAGGAAGTTCCAAACTTTCCCACATCTTCCTGTCTTCTGAGCCCTCCAAGCTGTTTCTACCTCTGCCTGTTAGCCAGTTCCAAAGTAACTTCCACATTTTCAGGTTATCTTTATAGCAGCACCCCCCACTCTCTGCAGTGCCAATAAAGATAGTATTTGAGACTGGGTAATTTATAAAGGAAAGAGGTTTAATTGACTCACAGTTCCACAAGGCTTGGGAAGCCTCAGGAAACTTACGATCATGGTGGAAGGCAAAGGGGAATCAAGCATCTTCTTCATAAGGGAGAAGGAGAGAGAAGAATGGAGGAACTTCCAAACACTTATACAACCATCAGATCTTGTGAGAACTCACTATCACAAGAACAGCATGGGGGAACCACCCCTATGATCCAATCATCTCCCTCCCTCAACACATGGAGATTACAGGTCCCTCACTCAAAATGTGGGGATTGCAATTTAAGATGAGATTTGGGTGGGGACACAGAGCTAAACCATATCAGCCGACTTGGGTGACTAAAAGTGAGTGGTTGGGGGTATGGAAGGAAGCAATAGTGCCTGCTACACTCACCAAGGTCTGTTTCTAGACACTCCAAAAGTCTATGTGGATATAGGGTCTTCCTGACTATAGTCAGATAGATCCATGCAGCTATGAAGTCCTTCTGTTCTAGATCCTGCCCTCAGAATTTCCCTGAACTGCTGTCCATAGATGTCCTCTGTGCTTCAATGTCCCCTGAACTCCTCCACCACACTGCTGATGCTCACTGCTGGAGTGAACATCCATGGTTGTCCTGATATCATGGTATTGCACTCGGCCCACTTAACTGTGTCTCTAATGCACACATAATGTCCTAGAGCAGCTTCAGCCATGGAGTTAACTGTTCCATCTGATGTCCTAGAGCATCTTGGGCCATGGAGTTGACTGTTCCATCTGCTGCCTCCCAATCCAACCATTCACTTCTCTCTTGTTTTTAACTGTTTAAAAACCTTTCCCTGTAGTCCTCCCCAATTCCCTGTGCTTCTACTGGTGACCAGGCACAGTACTAGTCCCCAGAACCCAGGCCTACTCAACATACTAACCTATTCACCTACTACAGTGATTGGCCCAGGGAGTGGATACATGATCCAATAGAACCAATCAGAACTATTCCTTGGGATTTTATACAGACACCAAGAGGTAGGAGACTTCCTTTTACTCTGTGGTTGTGTGTTGACAGGATGTTGAGCTGGAGCTTTCTACACTCATAGTTGCCCCTCCTCCACCACAACGGAAGACACATATGTGAAGAAGATGAGGATAAGCCAGCAGCCTCCAGGGAGGAGCAAAGCCAAAAGAGAGAGAGAGAAAGAGGGAGGGAGGGAGGGAGGGGGAGAGAGAGAGAGAGAGATCCTCATGCCATCAGTTGACTTGCATTCACTCTCTGCAGCCAGCTCCTGCTTCAACCTTTCCAGTAACAGAGCTCATTATTCCTACTTTTGCCCAAGCTAATTTGCATTGGGATTCCTCCATTTATTATGCTTTCCACGTACTGTGAGTAGAGACACAAGGAAATGCCTTCTTTTCTTGTCTTCTTTTAGATAGTATTTCATGGCAGAGAGCCCTTGATGCTGATCATTTAATTATTTTTTCCTTTTCTTAAAAAACGTTTTTGTTTCTGTTTTTGTTTTTTAAATAGAGACAGGATCTCTCCATGTTGCCCAGGCTAGTCTCAAACTCCTGGGCTCAAGTGATCCTCCTACCTTGGCTTACCAACGTGCTGGGATTACAGGCATAAGCCACCACACGTGGCCTTTTTTTTTTTTTTTAAATACAGACAGGATCTTGCTCTATTGCCCAGGATGGAGTACAGTGGCATGATCACAGTTCACTATAGTCTCAACCTCCTGGGCTCAAGCAATCCTCCCACCTCAGTCTCCCGAGTATCTGGGACTACACATTTACACCACCATGTCCAGCTAATTTTTGAATTTTTTGTACAGACAGGGTCTCACTATATTGCCCAGGCTGGCCTCAAACTCCTGGCCTCAAGTGATTCTCCCGCCTTGGCCTCCCAAAGTGTTGGGATTATAGGTGTGAGCCACTGTGTCTGGCCTATTTAATTATTTCATATTTACCACCTAGCAGAGTGACATGGACTACTAGTGACATTTACCTTTTACTTGTAACACTACTTTCTCCTCAGGACACACTGGCATTAGAGGAGAGAGAGGCTGGGTTAGGGGGCATAAGAGACCCATTTCATGTCATACTCAGGACTAACCACTGCTGCCTTCCCAAAATGCAGGCCTTGTGGTAAAAATATTGGTCTTCTCTCTCATGCACAGGAACTTTTTTTGCCCCCTTGAAAATCTGATTTCTTTTGCCTGCCTCCCCTGCCCCAAGTCTATCAGACATGCCTGTACATACCTCAATCCAATTTCTTTCTTTTTTTCTTTTCATTCTTTTTTTTTTTTTTTTTTTTTGAGACAGAGTCTTGCTCTGTCATCCATGCTGGAGTGCAGTGGTGTGATCTCGGCTCACTGCAACCTCTGCCTCCCGGGTTCAAGTGATTCTCATCCCTCAGCTTCCCAAGTAGCCAGGCACCTGCCACGACGCCTGGCTATTTTTTGTGTTTTTAGCAGAGATGGGATTTTACCATGTTGGCCTGGCTGATCTTGAACTCCTGGCCCCATGTGATCCGCCAGTCTCAGCCTCCCAAAGTGCTGGCATTACAGGCGTGAGCCATCGCACTCAGCCAATCCAATTTCTAATAATCATAACTTCTATTTATTGAGAGTATACAGTTTCTTCATTACTTAAACACTTCACCTATACTAATTCAGTTGGTAATCATAAAATCCTATAAGTCAAAATATTGCTAACATCTAAGTGGTGAGAAACAAAGCTGAGATATGTGTCCAAGTTCAACATAGGTGGTAAGTGGTGAAGCCAGGTGGAGTGACCACAGAGTCCTTCACACTTTATCTTTCTTTTCAATTTCTTTTTGTCTTTCATTATGATTATTTTCAAGCATACACAAAAGTAGAAAGAATAGCACCACAAACCCCAGGTAACAGTCACCTAGCTTCAATAATAATCATTATTTTGCCATTTGTGCTTTATCATTTCTCCCTCTTTTTTCTTTGGTGGTGTTTTTTTTTGTTTGTTTGTTTGTTTTTTTTGATGGAGCCTCACTCTGTCACCCAGGCTGGAGTGCAGTGTCATGATCTGAGCTCACTGCAACCTCTGACTCTCAGGTTCAAGCGATTCTTGTGCCTCAGCCTCCTGAGTAGTTGGGACCACAGGTGCGCACCACCACACTTGGCTAATTTTTGTGCCTCAGCCTCCCGAGTAGCTGGAACTACAAGCATGTGCCATCAAGCCTGGCTAATTTTTGTATTTTTAGCAGAGATAGGGTTTCACTATGTTGTCTAGGCTAGTCTTGAACTCCTGACCTCAAGTGATCTACCTGCCTCGGCCTCCCAAAGTGTTGGCGTGAGCCACCTTGTGCACCTGCCAGATTTTCTTTTTTTTTGAGATAGTCTCACTCTTGCCCAGGCTAGAGTGCTCACTGCTGCCTTGACCACCTGAGCTCAAGCAATCCTCCCACCTCAGCTTCCCGAGTAGCTGGAACTACAAACATGTGCCATCCCACCAGGCTGTTTTTTATATTTTTGCAGAGACGGGGGTCTCACTATTTTGCCCTGACTGGTCTTGAAATCCTGGGCTCAAGCCATCCACCCGCCTCAGTCTCCCAAAGTGCTGGGATTACAGACATGAGCCACCGTACCCGGCCTACAATTTCAGATTTTAAAGTTTAGGTCACTAATCAATTTTTAGTTGATTTTTGTTTATGCTGTAAGATAAGGGTCAAGTTTTATTCTTTTCCATGTGGATACTGTTTTTCCAATACTATTTATTGAAGAGACTATTCTTCTGCCATCGTATCTTCTTGGTGGCCTTGTTGAAAATTAGTTGATAGTATTTGCTTGGGTTTATTTCTTGTCTCTCTCTTCTGTTCATTGTTCTATGTGTCTGTTTTTAAAGCATATAGGGTTTTTGTTTGTTTGTATGTTTTTGTTTTTGAGATGGAGTCTTGCTCTGTTGCCCAGGCTGGAGTGCAGTTGTGTGATCTCGGCTCACTGCAGCCTCTGCCTCCCGGGTTCAAGAGATTCTTGTGCCTCAGTCTCCTGAGTAGCTGCGACCACAGGCGCATACCACCATACCTGGCAAATTTTTATATTTTTAGTAGAGATGGGGTTTCTCTATATTGTCCAGGCTGGTCTTGAACTCCTGAGCTCAAGTGATCCACCTGCCTCAGCCTCCCAAGGTGCTGGGATTACAGGCGTGAACCACTGCACCCGGCCCACGTATAGGCTTTTGAATGTGACTTCCTTTACTTAGCATACTGCTTTTGCAATTCATCCATGTTATTGAGTCTATCAGTAGTTTGTTACTTTATATTGCTGGGTAGCATTTTATTGTATGGCTGTACCACAGATCATTTACCCATTTATCTGTTGAGGGACACTTGAATAGTTTCAATTTAGGCAATTATAGATAAAGCCAGTATAAACATACACATATAGGTTTCTGAGTAAACACTGATTTTCATTTCTTTTTGGTAAATACCCAGGAGTGGGATTGCCGGTTTTTATGGTGGGTATATGTTTAGCTTTATAGGAAACTGACGAACTGTTTTCCAAAGTCTCTAAACCATTTTGCATTTTCTTTTTTTTTTAATTTTACTTTGAGTTCTGGGATACATGTGCAGAACGTGCAGGTTTGTTACATAGGTATACATGTGCCACGGTGGTTTCCTGCACCTATCAACCCGTCATCTAGGTTTTAAGACATGCATACATTAAGTATTTGTCCTAATGCTCTCCCTCCCCTCTCCTTCTACCACCTGACAGGCCCTGGTGTGTGATGTTCCCCTTCCCGTGTCCATGTGTTCTTATTGTTCAACTCCTACTTATGAGTGAGAACATACAGTGTTTGGTTTTCTGTTCCTGTGTTAGTTTGCTGAGAGTGATGGTTTCCAGCTTCATCCATGTCCCTGCAAAGGACATGAACTCATTCTTTTTTGTGGCTGCATAGTATTCCATGGTGTATATGTGCCACATTTTCTTTATCCAGTTTATCATTGATGGGCATTTGGGTTGGTTCCAAGTCTTTGCTATTGCAAATAGTGCTGCAATAAACATACGTGTGCATGTGTCTTTAGAGTAGAATGATTTATAAACCTTTGGGTATATACCCAGTAATAGCATTGCTGGGTCAAATGGTGTTTTCAGTTCTAGATCTTTGAGGAATCGCCACACTGTCTTCCACAACCATTTTGCATTTCTATGAGCCATGTATGAGAGTTCTAACTGCCCTCTATTTTGCTCTCATTTAATACTCAAATATGTTTTTTAATCTAAAATGCCTTTCTATGGTTTATTTATTTGAGTCAGAATCTATAAAATAATCACATGTGGTATTTAGTTAATATGTCAGTTAAGTCTCTTTTAATCAGTAATAATTTTCTTTCCTCTTCCTCTCTTTAATGTCATGCATTTATAAGGAACCAAGTCATTTATTCTAAATTTTCTGCATTCTGGACTAGGTTGATTGCATTCTTGTTTCCTTTGTCCCGTCTATTTATCAGGATCCAAAGTCTGAATGTGAAACTTGACTAGTCCCAAGCTTAATTTATTTTTTGACAAGAGTAATTCATAGGTGGTATTATATATTACTGGTTGATTACATCAGAAATACCAAATACCTACTGTCTGGTTGGTAAAAGTCTGACTCATCTATTATGAAGTTTACAATCAAATTTTCATTGAATTATTTTATCAGTCATTGCTAAGTATTGCCTACTTCTGTTATTCCATTAGGAGATGCAAAATGATTTTATATATCTATCTTCTGCATCTATGAAATTGAATTCTTATACAAAGAAGAACTATCCCTCCTCACCTATTTATTTACCATGAAATATAGTTTGGACAGAGCTGGGAGCAGTGGCATGCACCTGTAGTAGCAGCTACTCCAGAGGCTAAGGTGGGAGGATTCCTTGAGCCCAGGAAGTCAAGGCTGCTGTGAACTATGGTTGCACCACTGTACTCCATCCAGGGTGGCAGAGAGAGACCCTGTCTCATAAACAGCAACAACAAATATACCATTTGAACAGAGAAGGCAGGATAAATGCTTCATTACTTCTTTTTTGTTATTTACTAGTGTCTAGTAGGATGAGTTGCTGCCATAGCAAATTCAAAAGAGGACCAAAGATTTTTTTTCTGTATTATTGTAAATTCATGATTTTTTATACTTGAATTCTAATTTTTGAAGAAAGTTCAAAGTCTTTTCCACAGGTCGCATTCAAATCAGATGGTATGGCTGGACCCTTGTTTGAAGTCCTCTAGGCATTTCCCAACAGTTTAGGTGACATTGTCAGCCAAGGCTTGCAGCGGAAGCCTTGTGTCCTTCTCTACCCAGGCTTGTCTGAGTCTCATCTCTGGACCAGCTGAGAGACCTTGATACAGATGCCTTTTCCTTTCCCCAAGCCATAATACAGAATGTCAGTATGATTTTTTATTTACTCAACTTAGCTAGTTTGAGTTGAGTAAATGAAGCCAAAACAGAGAGTTTTTGTCTGCAAATGGGAGCTCCCAAGGGTAGGTCAAGATTTTGGTCAATGTTGTATTGAGTTCCAGTGATGTAATCAGAATTCCATCTCTCTCTCAATTCCTGGCTATTGAAAATTTGTGTTGGTTTCATTCTACAGCAGGCTCTATTTGCAAAGGGGCCCCAGAGGTTCTTACACAGCCTGTGGGGTCATTGTTAGGCTCCTTCATATTCAACCACTTATTATGGATAAAAAGCATGGAGGTTATTGGCTGCGCAATGAATTATAATCATGCAATTTTAAGGTTTCATAATCATTAGTTCTAAGCTTTACCAAGTAAGTTGTGACTCAGATACTCAGCAGTACCACAATCTCTAATAGGTTCTTACCCACAGGTGCTTTGTCTCTGCCTGGGAATTCATCTGTTGCAGGTGTGTGCTTGGACGGTGTCAGGAGCTGGCTAGAAGTGGCTGGGAGATGGTATCCCAGGGGCAGCCCTCAATTAGTAACAAGCAGGAGTTCAAGGATAAATTCCCCAGTTCCTCATTTGTCAGCAAGACATCAACTTACAGAGTTTCCCAGAAGTCTCCAGAAGTGCCAAGACCAACTCGGTCGGGGAGACCCTAACCCAGTGGCGTCAGAGGAATTAAAGACACACACACAGAAATATAGAGTGTGGAGTGGGAAATCAGGGGTCTCACAGCCTTCAGAGCTGAGAGCCCCAAACAGAGATTTACCCACATATTTATTGACAGCAAGCCAGTGATAAGCATTGTTTCTGTAGATTATAGATTAACTAAAAGTATTCCTTACAGGAAATAAAGGGACAGGCTGAAATAAAGGGACGGGTCTGGCTAGTTATCTGCAGCAGGAACATGTCCTTAAGGCACAGATCGCTCATGCTATTGTTTGTGGTTCAGGAATGCCTGTAGCGGTTTTCTGCCCTGGGTGGGCCAGGTGTTTCTTGCCCTCATTCTGGTAAACCAACAACCTTCAGTGTGGGCACCATGGCCATCACAAACATGTCACTGTGCTGCAGAGATTTTGTTTATGGCCAGTTTTGGGGCGAGTTTATGGCCAGATTTGGGGGCCTATCCCCAGCAGAGGAGAATTGAGTCCCAGCTGCCCACAGTGGTCCCCTGCTCATTAATGAATGGAACTTGTGTTGGCTTCTTTCCTTATCTGTCTCAATCCCCAGCTCTACTAGTGGTGCTTCCAGGGGTCACCTCTCAAATAGATTAAATGCCCTCAAATCTTTATCCCCAACTCAGGAGGAATTCTGTCTAAGACAAATCACAAATTTAATATATGAGATGTTTCTTTTTTTTTCAATGTAGCAAACAAGATACACACAAATTGGAAATATTACCACTTCTAATATTGGTACTCAAACATAGACTTATTACTGTTACATGAATTTTATTTCTTTCTGGTAAATAACTTTACCTGTCTAGACTCAGGAGTCAGATTGAAATGTCAGACTTATTACAGGTTAGGTGAAGATGGGATGATGGTT
Organism: Homo sapiens; assembly: GCF_000001405.40. Classification (NCBI taxonomy): domain Eukaryota; kingdom Metazoa; phylum Chordata; class Mammalia; order Primates; family Hominidae; genus Homo; species Homo sapiens. The sequence goes on along the minus strand of NC_000012.12, from coordinate 114,591,677 downwards.
GACAATTGAGGACTGGGGACATGGGACCTGGACAAACATTCAAAAGCCTCTTCCCAGTTAGACAGCCCCCTTTTAGTGTTACATCATTTGGCTCTTCACAGGAAGAGCCGTATGAATGATCAGCTCCAACCAAATCAAATAAATGTTGATGATTTTATAATCCAGTACAAAAGACAGCACACACCAATCAAGTGCTGTTTAGATTATTTACTGATATAAATATATGGATAAGTAAGTGCATGTTTATGTATGTGACATATATCATCTATACATATATAAGAATATTTATTATATATTCTGTTTATATATGTTTTATATTATATATGGTTTTTTTCTCTTGCTAGGGTGCTTTATATATTTAATCTATATTTATTAATAATTTTTTAAAATTTTTTTGTTGAGACAGCGTCTTGCTTTGTCATCCAGGTTGGAGTGCAGTGGCATGATCTTGGCTCACTGCAGACTCGACCTCTCTGAGCTCAGGTGATCCTCCCACCTCAGCCTCCCCAGTTGCTGGGATCACAGGCATGTACCACCACGCCTGGCTAGTTTTTGTATTTTTAATAGAGACAGGGTTTCGCCATGTTGCCCAGGCTGATCTTGAACTCCTGAGTTCAAGCAATCACCCACCTTGGCCTCTCAAAGTGCTGGGATTACAGGTGTGAGACACGGTGCCCAGCCCAATGTATATTTATAACATTCCCCACAGTCATCTTGGGTAGGCACCAAGACCTTTAAAAACATAGAAATTAAAAATGAAAGGAAGGTTAGAAAACTATAAAAAACTCAACACCCTTTTAAAAAATATTTTTAACTGTCATAGAATGCAAATAATATAAAATTTACCATCTTAACCATTTTAAGCATACAGTGCAGTGGTGTTAAGTATATTCACATTGTTGTGCAGCCCATCTTCAGAATATTTTTATCTGGCCAGGTGTGGTGGCTCACACCTGTAATCCCAGCACTTTCGGAGGCTGAGGCGGGTGAATCACCTGAGGTCAGGAGTTCAAGACCAGCCTGGACAACATGGTGAAACCCTGTCTCTACTAAAAATACAAAAATTAGATGAGCATGGTGGTGGGCGCCTATAGTCTTAGCTATTCAGGAGGCTGAGGCAGGAAAATCGCTTGAGCCCAGGAGATGGAGGTTGCAGTGAGCCGAGATCACACCACTGCACTCCAGCCTGGGTGACAGAGTGAGACTCCATCTCAAAAGAAGAAAAAAAAATATTTTCATCTTGCAAAACTGAAACTCTATACCCGTTAATCAATGGCCACCACCATTCCACTTTCTGTTTCCATGAATTTGACTATTTTAGATACCTCATATGAATCATACAGTATTTGTCCTTTTGTGATTGGCTTATTTCACTCAGCATAATATTCTCAAGGTTCATCTGTGTTGTAGCATGTGTCAGAAATTCCTTCCTGGTCAGGCGCAGTGGCTCATGCCTGTAATCCCAGCACTTTGGGAGGCCAAGGCGGGCGGATCACTTGAGGTCAGGAGCTCGAGACCAGCCTGGCCAATGTGGTGAAACCCCATCTCTACTAAAAATAAAAAAATTAGCTAGGTGTTGTGGTGGGTGCCTGTAATCCCAGCCACTTGGGAGGCTGATGCAGGAGAATTGCTCGAACCTGGGAGGTGGAGGTTGCAATGAGTGGAGATTGTGCCACTGCCTCGGTGACAGAGCAAGACTCCATCTCAAAAAAAAAAAAAAAAAGAGAGAGAGAAATTCCTTCCTTCCTTCCTTTTAAACACTGAATCATATTACATTTTTTTTAAAAAGCCTCTTAAAATGTTTATTCTTGTCAGAATAGCTGATGATTTTCTGTTAAGTATTTTGGTTTATTATTATAGTAAGCCTTCCCTCCCTTGAAAAATCCATTCAAAATATCTCAATCCTTGAGATAAAGAACTTTAATCAAAAAACCATCCTGATTTTTTTTTTTTTTTTTTTTGCAAGACGGAGTCTTGCTCTGTCTCCCAGGCTGGAGTGCAATGGCGCAATCTTGGCTCACTGCAAACTCCACCTCCTGGGTTCAAGTGATTCTCCTGCCTCTGCCTCCCCAGTAGGGATTACAGGGTGTGCACCACCACATTCAGCTAATTTTTGTATTTTCTAGTAGAGATGGGGTTTCACCATGTTGGTCAGGCTGGTCTCGAATTCCTGACCTCATGATCCACCTGCCTCGGCCTCCCAAAGTGCTGAGATTACAGGCATGAGCCACTGCGCCCAGCCCTGATTTTTTTTAAAGAAAAAAAATTATAAAATTCCTTTAGTTTGATAAATAGAAATCATCTCTTCTTGTTCTACTCTGGTGAACAATGCATTTTATACAGTAAAAAACCCAGTCATTCACTGGCAAACCAAAGGTGAGAACCCTTCATTTACCTCTTCTACTCAAACACAGTGCAACACTGCCATGTTCATATCTACTTAAAAAAATAATTACCAACCCTCTTCTGGCAGACGAAGTTTTGGAATAGCAAGAGCATTCCTTAATGTTTGAAACCAGTCACTTATTGGTAAACCAAAGGTGAGAACCCTTCCTTTTTTTTTTTTTTATTATACTGTAAGTTCTAGGGTACATGTGCACAATGTGCAGGTTTGTTACATATGTAAACATGTGCCATGTTGGTGTGCTGCACCCATTAACTCATCATTTACATTAGGTATATATCCTAATGCTATCCCTTCCCCTTCCCCCCACCCCACGACAGGCCCCAGTGTGTGATGTTCCCCTTCCTGTGGGTGAGAACCCTTCCTCTACCTGCTCTACTCAAACACAGTGCAACACTGCCATGTTCATATGTACTTTAAAAAAGTGATTACCAACCCTCTTCTGGCAGACAAAAGTTTTGGAATAGCAAGAGCATTGCTTAATGTTCGAACTGCATCTGTCTCCTGTTTCTTTTTCAGGAGAGACGCATGGGCATTGGTAGCCATGCCCAAAGCCAGCTTCTTCTCATTGTTTCTTCAGTCTGTTCTGGCACCTTTTGCCAGAAGCAACTGGACAATATCTGCATAACCCTTCCAGGCAGCAGCATGTAAAGCTGTGTCTCCCAACTTGTTCTGTTGGCTCAGTTAAATACTCCGTTGAGTAAATAGCATTTCCACTATATCTCTGAGATCCCCATGACAAGCCTAGTCTAAGGCAGTGCTTCCAGCCTTGTCTAAGCCATTAACACCCACTCGGTTGTCCAAACACTCTCGCAACCAACTCAAGTTGCCTCTTTTTGCTACTTCATGCAATAGATTGTCAATGGATTCTGCCTGCTCGGCCACATAGTTGCTTGGAGTTAGTCCAGTCCTGCCTTTGGAGGTGCCTTTCCACCAATTTGCATCATTCATGTCAGTAACGTAGATGATATCACCTTTCTCAAAGCATAGTTCATCTGGAGTTCTGGGTTCAAAAGTATAGAGGGCTCTGAAGACTTTATCTTACGCTGGTTTGACCGGTTTGGGTGGCAGCTTTGACATCTCACTTCCTTGAGCTGCATATTCTAAAGACGACGCTGAAAAGCCCACTGCTTGCCTGCTACCTGGCACTCCAAGCACCTCAGAGTTACTTTTTGTCTGGTTTGCTGTCGTGTGCCTTCAAGGACTGGCACCCACCCTTGGCTCTCAATGTTATTTCATTGTATGGATATACTACATCTTGTTTATCCACTTACCCACTGGGGAACACTTGGCTTCCTTCCACTTTTGGCTATTGTGAATAATGCTGCTATGAATATAAATGTATAAATGCCTCTTCAAGTCCTGCTTTCAGTTCTTTTGGGCATATACTTAGAGTGGAACTGCTGGATTCAACACCCTTCATTTTTAATTTTTACAAGTCTCTTCCCTCTGAGAGCACCAGCTGGAGTTTGCCACAGAGAAAATGAGCAAGAATGAGCTGACCTTTGTTCTGGGGTTTCTGTTAAGGCCAGTTCTAAATGAACTTTGAGTCCCTCTTGTGGGACTACCCCAGGAACGCTTTTTGCCGTAACTTGTTCTCAGATTGCAGAGTCTTCTCTTCCTCAACTGCCCCCAATTTACCACCCTATTTCCTCTGTTCTCAAAGTCAGCCACTAAGGCTGCTAGTCCTTCATTGGATCTTCATGGACATCTGGATAAAGTTCAAACTCTTTAGCAAGGCAAACACTCCTGTATTTGTCATCCGGTTCTTGCCTACCTCTTTAGACTTATGTCTGAGTGTTCCTACAGATGCTTGGCATTTTGAGATGGAATGGGGTGTCAGGAATGAGTGATGAGGCTCAGGAATGGGAAGACAGTCAGCAATGCATGTATATGTACATGTATACAATTATAAAACATTCGTGCGTGTGTGTCTGTGTGAGTATGTGTATGGGTGTATAGATAGATAAACTAATTTTTTTTGCCACCATGCCAGGCTAATTTTTAAATTATTTTTATTTTTAGTAAAGATGGGGTCTCACTATGTTGCCCAGGCTTGTCTCTGACTCTTGGGCTCAAGTGATCCTCCTGCCTCAGCCTCCTAAAGGGCTGAGATTACAGGTGTGAGCTGCCATGGCTAGCTGATAAATAGACTAATTTTATATAAATGAAGTCATTCTCTATATGTATATATATTTAAATTTATCTTTATTTATTTATTTATTTTTCTGAGACAGAGTCTCACTCTGTGGCCCAGGCTGGAGTGTGGTGGCATGATCTTGGCTCACTACAACCTTTGCCTCCTAGGTTCAAGTGGTTTTCCTGCCTCAGCCTCCCGAGTAGCTGGGATTACAGGTGCACACCACCATGCCTGGCTAAGTTTTCATCTTTTTAGTAGAGACGGGGTTTCACCATGTTGGCCAGTCTCAAACTCCTGACCTCAATTAATTCACCTGCCTCGGCCTCCAAAAGTGTTAGGATTTCAGGCATGAGCCACCGCACCTGGCCTCATTCTCTGTATAATTTTAAAACTTGTTACTATAAAATATTTCAAGCATAAGCAAAGATAAAGAAAATAGCTAAATAAATCCCCATTTATTCATCATCCACCTTACCAACTCATGGCCATCTTGTTTTATTAATACTTCCAGCCTCTCCTCCTTTAAATATTTTGAAGCAAATCCCACATGTCATATTATTTTTATGCTTAATATCTTAGTATATATCTCTAAAAGATAAGAACTCATTTTTAAAATAAAGGCTTTAAGATCACTCTTGGTGTTGTACATTCTATTGGGTTTGGACAAATGTGTAACAACATGTATTCACCTTATAGTATCATAATCAGAAGTTTTGCTGCCTTAAAAATCCTCTAGAATAGGGGTCCCCAGTCCCTGGACCATGAACTGGTTCCTGTCCGTGGCCTGTTAGAAAACGGGCCACACAGCAGGAAGTGAGCAGAGGGTGAGCAAACGAAGCTTCATCTGTATTTTCACCTGCTCGCCATCACTCGCCTTACCACCTGACTCTGCCTCTTGTCAGGTCAGTGGCTGCATTAGATTTTTTTTTTTTTTTTTTGAGACAGAGTCTTGCTCTGTCACCCAGGCTGGTGTGCAGTGGTGCGATCTCGGCTCACTGCCATCTCCACCTCCCAGGTTCAAGCAATTCTCCTGCCTCAGCCCCTTGAGTAGCTGGGATTACAGGTGTGTGCCACAATGCCCAGCTAATTTTTTGTGTTTAGTGGAGACAGGGTTTCACCATGTTGGCCAGGCTGGTCTCAAACTCCTGACCTCAGGTGATCTGCCCACCTCAGCCTCCCAAAGTGTTGGGATTACAGGCGTGAGCCACTGTGCCCAGCCTGCATTAGATTCTCATAGGAGCACAAACCATAGTGTGAACTGTGCATGCAAAGGATATAGCTTGCGTGCTCCTTATGAAAATCTAATGCCTGATGATCTGTCACTGTCTCCCATCACCCATAGATGGAACCATCTAGTTGCTGGAAAACAAGCTCAGGGCTTTCATTGATTCTACATTATGGTGAGTTGTATAATTATTTCATTATATATTACAACATAATAATAATTGAAATAAAGTGCACAAGAAATATAATGCACTTGAATCATCCTGAAACCATATCCACCACCCCCACTACCCTGCCCTATCCATTGAAAAATTGTCTTCTACAAAACCAGTTCCTGGTGCCAAAAAGGTTGGGGACCGCTGCTCTAGAACTCATTTATTTATTTATTTTCTGCAATGAATCCAAAAGCTAGATCTAACTCTTTTATTTTTTTATTTTATTTTATTATTATTATACTTTAAGTTTTAGGGTACATGTGCACAATGTGCAGGTTTGTTACGTATGTATACATGTGCCATGTTCGTGTACTGCACCCTTTAACTCGTCATTTAGCATTAGGTATATCTCCTAATGCTATCCCTCCTAACCACAGTGTCATTACCATAATAATTCCTTAACAACATCAAGTATCTAACCAATTCTTAAATTTTCTTAAATGCAGCTGGGCATCGTGGCTCACACCTGTAATCCCAGCCTTTTGGGAGGCTGAGGCGAGAGGATCGCTTGAGCCCGGGAGGCCAAAGCTGCAGTGAGCTATGATTGTGCCACTGCACTCCAGGCTGGGCAGCAGAGCAACACCCTGTCTCAAGAAAAAAAAAATTCTAAATGCTTTTTTATTCTTTAACAACCTGTTTGAATCAAGATCCAAATAAAAGTCAGATGTTGTTTTTGGTTAATATATCTCTCAAAACACTTTTGATCTATAGACTCTTGGTATCTGTTTCTATAGCTCTGTATTTATCTATAGCTAGATACAGAGATGTAGACCTAAATAGAGATCCGATTGCATTTATTTGTATTTATTGTGTTATTTTCTTTTTGTCCTATAGAGTTTTCCCCAGTCTGGGCTTTCCTGACTGAATCTCTGTGCTATCATTTTGCCCCTATGTGTTTTATGAATTGATAGTTAAGTCTAGGGGCTTGATCAGATTCAAGTCCAATTTTTGTTTTTGTTTGCAAAACTACTTACCAGGTGGTGTCTGTCCTTCCATTAGAAGGTACATTATACCTGCTTGTGTATCTTTTGTGATGTTAGTGGACACTGACCATCAGTGCCAAAACTCATTAGTTCATAGGGTGCAAAATGGTGATATTCTAATTGTACTACTGCATCTTCATTAATTGTGTAGAATACTTCTGTGAAGAGAAACTTCCGTTCATGTACATGTACTTTTTTTTTTTTTTTTTTTTAGAGAGAACGATTCTCACTTGGTCACCCAGGCTGGATTGCAGTGGTGCAATCATGGCTTACTGCAGCCTCGAATTCCTGGGCTCAAGCAATCCTCCCACCTGAGCCTCCCAAGTAGCTGGAACTGCAGGCATATGCCACCACACCTCGCTAATTTTTGTATTTTTTGTACAGACAGTGATTTCACTGTGTAGCTCTGGCTTGTCATGAACATACACTCTTTTATCACCCTAAGGTGCTGGTCTTACAGGAAAAGCAGGGTAAATGTTCAATTATTTTCCAATTTTTAAAATAATGAGTTGGTTTCCTAGCATCCCCTAAAAGTAATTAGTGAATTCTTGAGTATCATTATGAACTATTGAGTTCAAACCTATTTGATGTATTTCAATGTGTTACGCTTATTTATGCTCAAATTCTCTCACTTTTAGCCAGTGAGAGCCTATCCTATCAGCTTCTGAGTCCTTTGTCCAGACCTCAGGAGTTTTTAACAGCTTCCCAGCCTTTTGGTATAAAAATATACCCCTTGCCCATCCATTTCCTTCCCCCAACTGGTAATCAGTCATTTAGCCAAGAAGCCTTGGTTCCTTTCAGTGTAAATTAGTATTTGGAGACCACAATCTGAGCATGATGGGCAATTTTTCAATACAAAACATTAAATATGTTTTATTTAATTAATTAAAGAAAAAGAATTAATTCCTTAGACAGGAGGAAAAGAAAGAAAAGGGAAGAAATTTAGTACAATTTCCTTTACCACAAGAGATAGTCTTTTCTTTAAAAAATCTACATAAGACAATAAGGTCATGAAAAATATTGAGTTCTTAGAGTCATGTTTAAAACAAACTTCAGGATGGGTATAGTAGCCCACACCTGTAATCCCAGCACTGTGGGAGACCAAGGCGGGAGGATTACTTGAGGCCAGGGGTTTGAAACCAGGCTAGGCAACATAGAGACCCCCATCTCTATAAAAATAAAAATAAAAATAAAAATAAAAAAATTAGCCAGGGGTGGTGGCACATGCCTATAGTCCTAGCTCCTCAGGGGGCTGGGGCCAAAGGATGGCTTGAGCCAGGTGTTGAGGCTGCAGTGAGACATGTTTGCACCACTGCACTCCAGCCTGGGCAACAGGTCAAGACCTTGTCTCTCAAATATAAATAAATAAGTAAATAAATAGGACGAATTGCAATATTTGACGGTTTGAATCCCTGAAAAGATTAAGAAATGAGTATTCTTTATTACTTCTCACTTTCCCTCCCTCCATCCTGACTTCTTAGTTATATTGTTTTATTTTGTCAATGTTCGTAACATGAATATTCTATTTTTGTAATCATGATCTTCATAGCTCTTCTTAAAGTTTTAATTGATACATACAAATTATATCTCTTTATGATGTGCAACATGATGTTTTAAAATATGTATATATTGTGGATCAGGTTAATTATTAACATATGTGTTACCTCACATACTTATCTTTTATTTGAAGTGAGAACACTTAATATCTACTCTTAGCACAGTTCTTTAATCTTAATTTTGTTTTTAAATGGGCACAGCACTGAGCATCAGTCCTTTTCTTTATACCTGAGTTCTTTGTTTTGATACGTTTGTCAAGATTTAGCCATCAATTTTTCATGGCATATATTCACTAATTTAATTATTCAAAGTTTCCCTATACAGACTATGCTGCAGTGAACCTTGACAGTGTGTGTGTATTTTTTGGTGGATATCTATGATCTAGATGTTGAATCTAAAATGCAAAGTTGCTAGGTGAAACAAATGTATACATTTTTTATAAATTCTCCCAAATTGCCCTCCAAAAATTTCTTTTCTTTTTTTTTTGGAGACTGGGTCTCACTCTGTTGTCCAGGGTGGAGGGCAGTAGCAGGATCTCAGCTCACTGCAGCCTCGACCTCCCAGGCTCAAGTAATCCTCCCTCCTCAGCCTCCTGGGTAGCTGAGACTACAGGAATACACCACCATGCCTGGCTAATTTTTTTTTTTTTTTTTGGTACTGTTTGTAGAGTTGGAGCTTTACCATGTTGCCCAGGCTGGTCTTAAACTTCTGAACTTGAAAGATCCACCCCCTGCTCAGCCTCCCAAAGTGCTGGTATTATAGGCGTGAGCTACTGCCCCTGTCCTGCCCTGCACAGATTTCTATCACTTTGTCCTCTCATCTGCATTCATGAAGGTCTGTCTCTCCATACCCCCATCAACCCTAGTTATCATCACTAGTTTAAATTTGCCAATCTGAGAGATAGTCTAATCCTAGTTGACAGCATGATGTCTGGAGGCAGATTCCCTGGGTTCAAATCCCAGCTCTGTCATGTATTGGATGTATCGTATCACCTTGTCCTCAGTTTTCTCACCAGTAAGTCAGGTATAATAGTAAAAGTCATATCATAGAGTTGTATGGATTAAGTAAGTCCTTTTGTTCAGTGTAGAGTGCAGAGAACATACTCAATATAGTAATATAAAGAATTTAAGTGTTTGCTGTTAATATTGTAGGGCCCCAAATAGTATCACATCATTTTAATGGATGTTTTGTCATTGTTAGTGGGGATGAGTGTAATGTTTAATAATCAGAAACAGAGATGCTATCTTTATGAAAGACTATCCAATCTTGAAAGAAAAAAAGATAATGACTTATGAAAATATGCATTGCAAAATTAAAAAGAAAACATAGAAACCTAGAAGTGGTAGCATTCTAACGGTTGATATCTTTGGGTGGTGATACGGTTTGGCTCTGTGTCCCCACCCAAATCTCATCTCAAATTGTAATCCCCATAATCACTAAGTGTTAAGGGCGGGACCTGGTGGGAGGTGTTTGGATTATGGAGGTGGTTTCCCCCATGCTGTTCTCCTGATAGTGAGTAAGTTCTCAAGAGATCTGTTGGTTTTATAAGGAGCTCTTCCCCACTTTGCTTGTTTGCTTTCTCCTTCCTGCCACTTTGTGAAGAAGGTACCTGCTTCCCTTTCGCCTTCTGCCATGATTGTAAATTTCCTGGGGCCTCCCCAGCCATGCTGAACTGTGAGTCAATTAAGTCTCTTTCCTTTATAAATTACCCAGTTTCGGGTGGTTCCTGAGACAGTGCTGGTGTCTCAGCTTCCTAAGTAACTGGGATTACAGCCACCATGCCTGGCTAATTTTTGTATTTTTAGTACAGATGG